>NC_000001.11:230426545-230578060 GCF_000001405.40 Homo sapiens | reverse complement strand
GCATGGTGGTGCACCTGTAGTCCCAGCTACTTGGGAAGCTGAAGCCGGAGCATCACTTGTGTCCATGACGTTGAGGCTGCAGTGATCCATTTTTGCACCAATGCACTCTGGGCAACAGAACAAGACCTTGTCTGGAGAAGAGGAAGAAGAAGGAGAAGAAGAAGGAGAAGGGGAAGGGGAAGGGGAAGAAGGAGGGGAAGGGGAAGGGGGAGGAGAAGGGGGAGGAGGAGGAAGAGGAGAAGAAGGACGAGGAGGAGGAAGAAGATGAGGAGGAGGAAGAAGAGGAGAAGAAGGAGGAGGAGGGGGAGGAAGAGAAGGAGGAGGAAGAAGAGGAGGAGGAGGAGAAGAAGGAGGAGGAGGAGGAGAAGAAGGAGGAGGAAGGGGAGGAAGAGGAGGAGGAGGAGAAGAAGAAGGAGGAAGGGGAGGAAGAGGAGGAGGAGGAGAAGAAGAAGGAGGAGGAGGGGTAGGGGGAGGGCCCGCCAGGGAAGGGGAATGGGCCATCAGGAGGCACCAGTGCGTAGTAATTAGGTACTTACATATGACGTGCTGGAGTCAGAATGCCTAGGTTCAAATCTTGCCTCTACCTTGGGCTTGTTATACTTCACCTTTCTAGCCCTTTGTTGCCTTATCCACAAAATAGGTATATTAGTAAGGTTTTTAAATAATAGCTAACATTTCCTGAGGGTTTATGAGATACCAGGTGTCATGCTTAATGCCTCAGACATGTGTTACATTTACCTAGGAGATAGATATTGTTATTACCCCTATTTTCAGATGAAGAGACTATAGTTCAGGAAGTAACTTTCTCCATCATAGATACAAAGGAGAGACTAAGAATTTAAACTCAGGCAGAGGCAGAACCTGTGCTTTTAGCCATATATTCCTCCAGCTTTCTAGAAAATGTTTGGAAAACAGTTATCTTCATCTATCATCACAAGATTTTCAAACAGGTATTTTCCTCCACGTCTGTCACTCACAATTCAACTTTACTTTCTCTGCAACATCTCTTCAACTCTCTTGAGAAGCTCAGATGAAAACAGCGAAAAGCTGCAAATCCAGCAGAAAATCCTTTTCAAAGGATTTGTCTACTTTATTTTAATCAATTAATTATAGAGACAGGATCTCGCTCTGTTGCCCAGGCCGAAATGCAGTGGTGAGACCATAGCTCACTGTGGCCTCAAACTCCTGGCCTCAAGGGATCCTCCTGCCTCGGTCTCCCAAGTAGCTGGGATTACAGGGGCAAGCCACCACTCCTGGTGGCTCTGTCCACTCTAAAAGTCACATTGGATTACTTTGAAGTGGTCAGACTTCTCATAATGCTGTAGTTTGAGGCATTTTCTTTTTGGCAAGAAGTTAAAGATCACAGGATCTTGCTGCAGGGTCCCAGGTGTTGATTTACCTTTGGGGTAATCCTCTGGCCTAGCATTGTGTGTTGTGGAGCTGTCTTCCTTTTCTTTTTCTTTTCTTCCTACTATGAGCCTGTCTGTATATGTTCCACTCTGAGAATTACCATGTAGGGGAGTTTGAAAGTGTTTTTGTTGTTGTTGTTGTTGTTGTTTTGCTGGGCCTGAGAATTAAACCGACATAAGACAGATCAATAGGAAAGAAGCATACACATTCACTTAATACAAGTTTTATGTGGCGTTGGAGCCTTCATAAGGAAATAAAGACCCAAAGATACAACTAGAGTCAAACACTTACATGCTGAGTTGGACAAAGAGTAGTAAACTGTGAAAATGTGATAAGGCTTGGGCTGGGCAGTTAATTGGGTAGAGAAGTGACTAGGAAGATAAGGGCTAGTCTAACAAGGTTTGTTTGCACAAATTTCCCTTGGCATCAACTTCCAGTCCCTGATGATAAGCATAACACTTCTTTTGGTATACGATGATATCTTTTCACATGAGAATTTCCTCTCCTCTTTAGAAACAGAATGAAGCTCAGAGTGATCTTCTTGCACCTGCTGTTTTTTAAGTGCCTTTAACTCAAAATAGTCAATATGCCACAGCTGCATATTTGGGGCTTGTAAATTCTTAACTCCCTTCAGCTATTAGTAGCTCTATTGTGGTTGATTGTTTCTCTGTGTGAAGATCTGAAATATACAAAACATTCAAACTTTAAATGTTTATCTGCTGGGAGGAAACTGCCTCAAATATAAATAACCCTATGTAAGTGTAAGTCTTTTCATTCCAAATACCAAAAAGGAAGGGAAGACCCAGGCTTAAAGTTGACTCGGTTTCTGTTCTGGTGAAGAAGAGGTTGGGATTATTTTTGTAGGATTTGAACTCCCACCATGAGGCATATCCCAACAAAACCTGCTAGGATGAAAGGCAGGTTGCAAATCACTGAAAGCCATTTGGATCAGTGGTTCTCCGCCTTGCCTCTCTTAGAATTCACCTGGGGAGATGGTAAAAATTCCCAATACCAGGCAGATCACATCTGGATCTCCGGAGTTGGGGCCCAAGCATCAGTATTTTAGTGTGCAGCCAGTAGTGAGACCGCTGACACTCAGTGGTGCTCCACAAGCTTGAATGTGCCTGTGATGCATCTGGAAGTCTAGGGAAAAGGCCGGTTTTGATTCAGTAGCTCTGGGATGAGGCTTTTCCAGCGAGCTTCCAGGTGACATGGATGCTGCTGGTCACTGGACCACACTTCACATAGCCAGGCCCAAAGGGTGTAGCTCTGCCTACAGAAATTGACACCAAAGGTCCTCAGCAGCACAGGACAAACTTGCACCCCAAGAGGGCTGCTGCCAATCTGTTATCAGTTCTATAAGTGGCTGCTCATCCGAAGCACCTTGGCAGCTTAGAAGAAGAAGTTGGTTACCACCCTGGCGATTCTGATTGATTGGTCTGGAAGCTCTTAATCTACGTTAAAAAATATCTCCCTGGGTGATTATGGGACACAGCTATGGTTGAGAACCACTGTTAAAATGGCCAATATTAAATGAATTCATTCTTTCAGAAAATTATCGAGTGATGGGTTGAGCTGTAGATTTTTGCAAACCAAAGTATTTTAGGGTCTTGGCTTAGGACACTGGGACTGTCTATTTGAAATCTTCATTTATCCCTTGGCACACATGAAAGTTTAAAAGATGGAATTGGTTAAAATCTCAGTAAATTAAGAAACCAACTTTAACTTCCATCCAAAAAGGTGAGGTGGTGGTAGAAAGAATCCATGCTGAACCCACCAAACCAGCTGCACATCCCTGTCACACGCATACCCTACATAAACAACACACAACACACACATGCCCTGTGCATACATAACACACCCACAACACACATAGATACTCCACACACACGTACATACACACCATACACACCCCACACAAAATACACAACAGACACAACACACACACACCACACACATACACAACAGACATCACACACCACACACATACACAAACCACGCACATACAAAACACAATGCACACATTCCACACAAACACACCACACACAACACACATGCACACCAAATACATACCACACACAGCACAATGCAATACATATCTCACACACACACACATGCACACCCCACACCACCCCCATGCACACCCCACCTTAACACAGTCTTAATTTCCTTCCCACCTATGGATATTTTTCAATGTAGATAAAGAGCTCCTTGACCAATGAATCAAAGTGACAGATAGAAATAAAGATAGATAACACATCCAGAGAGACTCACAGTCTCTAAAGGCAGGAGAATGATGGGCTGCCCTCAGAGCCACACAGGTGGCAGAGGCTTATCCACACCCTGAACCTGCTGGCAGCCCCATTTCTAGTCTCATCTCTCACAGAGGCAGAATCTGCATCTTAAGTGCAGGAACTCAATCATATTTATCTTTAACCATTTGATAAAATTTTGAAGTTGCAAATTCATACCATCATTTCACAGTAAAATTGTAGTTAAATAAGAAACCCATATTCATGTCAGAATTTTGCTATTTTGGAATTTGTGGGTTTTTTTTTTTAAGTGACAGGATTCCAAAAACAGCTACGCATGTACTAAACAGAGCAGGTATTCACAGATGTTTGTTATGAGGATGGTTGCAGCTCTGTTCCTGGAGGAACATGGGGAAATATCGGAAACTTCCCTGGGCCCAAGCAGAGGAACAGAGGACCCTGAGTGAACAACAGAGAAGAAATGTGTTTCCTTCCTGTATCTTCTGTGTAGCGAAGGGCATCACCACTCATCAGTTGACAAAGCCAGACAGAAGTGAAAGTACTTGTTGAATGAGTTCTTGATTCTTCTTTTACACACCTACTGAATCACTGAGGTAAGTTGATTCTACCACTGACTACCACTCCAATCCACCAGTCTTTTGTATCTCGAGCCCTACTGCTTTAAATCAGGCTTGCAGTCTCTCTCTCTCTCCTTTTTTTTTTTTTTTGAGACAGAGTTCTGCTCTTGTTGCCCAGACTGGAGTACAATGGCGCCATCTTGGCTCACTGCAACCTCCCCCTCCCAGGTTCAAACGATTCTCTGGCCTCAGCCTCCCAAGTAGCTGGGATGACAGGTGACTGCCACCATGCCTGGCTAATTTTTGTATTTTTAGTAGAGACGAGTTTTTACCATGTTGGCCAGGCTGGTCTCGAACTCTTGATGTCAGGTGATCCGCCTGCCTCTGCTTCCCAAAGTGCTGTGATTACAGGCATGAGCCACCATGCCTGGTCTCGTGGTCTCTTTAAGACAAGCACAGTGCCCTTCTATCTAGTCTCCTTGCCTGCAGGCGCGCGGCCTCAAACCAGATGCCATGTTGCCGCCACCGCCAGTGCGTTGATTCATTCATTTCAGAAGCTTTCTTGAGCATTGTCTGTGCATCAAATGCTGTGCTTGGTGCAGGATGTAAACTGAAAATAAAATCCTAAGCCTCCTAACCAACAGAACAGACCTGTCTTGGCCAAGAGGACCCCAGGGAAACCTTAAAACTGGAGTTTCCAGCCGTGACAGAATGGGAGGTCAGACACACCTCATTACACTCCCCCCACCCCTTCACAGTTTAGACACAACAGCTGACAAGGATTAATGTCAAAATAGAGATTACAAGACTGACAGGGCAGACTCTTTGTGGCAATAAGATACCAAATTATAAACAGGACCTAAGCCAGGCCAGGCAGGCAAGGGTTAAATCGCGTGCCCCACAGGTCACTCTGACTAGAGCAGTGTGGCTTGTTCTTGCAGCCCAGCTCTTGCATAACATCACAGGAAGATGAACTGACTTCCTTAACTTAAACATTCCTTGTGTTGACTCCAAATTTTTAGACAGAGCTTTACTCCTTTAATCAATTACTAATTAAAGAATTTCTGAACCCACCTATGACCTGCACTCCCCCGCTTCAGGATATCTCACCTTTCCAGGCTGACCCAATGTATACCTTCCATGTATTGATTTATGTCTTTGTTTACAACTCTTGCCTCCCTAAAATGTGTAAAACTAAACTGTAATCCAACTGCCTTGGGTGTACTTTCTCAGGACTGTGGTCCTGAATTTCAAACGCCTCGGTGCAGTCAGAGAGCAGAAGGATGTGAGGGATGCAAGTGAGCAAGGATTGGAGGGGCTTAAAATGAAGTTGAATCCACAGGGCCAGATCATGCAGGAACTTAGGAGCCATATAAGAAGTTTAGATTTAATTGTAAAGGCAACGGGAAGCCATGGGGGCAAGTTGGGCTGGAAAGAAACATTTGGCCTTCATGAAATTGAAAGCAAGAGAAAACTAGGGCAATCGTAGGGCTGGTATAACAATGGCCTTGTGTTTATATCTCAGTGACTTAAGACTGCTCTGTAAATCAGTTACATCTGAAGCATTTCCTGGTTCTTGGTCCCTGTGTATTTTATCCTTTACATTATTGATTCTCAACCCTGGCTGGTTAGTTACCTGGGGGAGCTCTGGAAAATTTACTGCTGCTGTGGTTCCATCTTTTGCTAATTAAGTCTGAATCTCAACCATAAATAAAGTTGACACATAAGTTACAGCTGGAATCTAACATTGTAACTTATATAAGACAACAGTTCAACATCCATGAAATAGAAAATTGCATTCTCTTTAGCATCAATGAAAGAAAAAATTTTAAAACTAGGAGAAGATAATCATGAAGACAAAGTAGATGCTGTTGATAAACTCCAAAAGATGCTCAACCTCTCCAGTAATTAGGGAAATGCTGAACAAAATAATAATAAAATGTTATTTTTCACCCACAAGATGGGTAAATAAAAAGAAAATGATTGATAATGACCAGGATTGGTAAGGATGTGTGAAAATTGATGTGCTCAGATATTCTGGAAGTAGAAATTAGTTCAACATTTTTAAGGAGTTGGCAATATTTACTTAAATATGAAGAGCATATGCCCAACAACCCAATAATGCAGTAATTCAACTTCTAAGTTTCTCTCCTACAGAAATATATGCTTATGTGCACAAAAACACATGTACAAGGGTAGCATCTTTTTTCACGGAAAAAAACATCTCCATTAAGAGAGAGATAGCTAAATAAATTATGGAATACAATACTGCCTAGTTGTTTGAAAAAGTTGTAGATCTCAGGATCTACATCTGCAAAGAAATATGTCTGTTATATTCTTTTTTTAAAAGATAGAATTGGTGTAATTTTAATTGAGAAGAAAAGCTTTGTCTGATATATTCTTTAGTTTAAAAAGCAAGCTGGAGAATATTATGTATGGTAGGATCAACTTTGTAATCCTGTTTTATTTGTGTGTGTGTTTTATACTATTTTGTGCGTTGTTCTCTGTTTACCCCCTACCTCAAGGTCTTTAGTAATTTCTTGCTTCATGAGTTTTACAGGGCAGAAAACAGAAGCTGTTAGAAGTCAATAGGTCTTCCTGTATTGTGTAAAATTCCAGATCACTGAAGAGATTACACTAGGGCGTGCCTTTGAGAGTCAGAGAAGAGAGAGAATGCCTTATGGTAACAAGTAGCAAGGGAAAGCAAGAGATTTCCCTATGACTAAAATGGAGCAGGAGGCAGGGGCTTAGACAAGATAAGAGGGAAAATTCATATTGCTCAAGGAAGTAGCAAACTTCGATGAGGGTGAAACCCGATGTGCCCCAAGAGAACAAGGTACCTATGCTTGTCAAGGCTGCCAATGCCCTGCCTCAAACTTGGCACAGCTTCAGCAAAGCCACCTGACCTGAAGGGACCTTGTGGGCTCACACAGCAGATGAAGACCTCCTTGGCTGGTATATATCCAGGGATCTTTGTGCCATTCTGGGATGGGGGAAGCCCCAGTGATGGGAATGGGGGCTTGGATTCAGATTTAATTAGATTTTTTGTACAAGTAACAGGGGCTAAGACCATGCAATGGGGGAAAGGATAGTCTTTTCAACAGTGGTGCTAGGAAAACTGAATATCTGCATGCAAGAGAAAGAAGTTGGATCCTTACCTTATACCATATATAAAAATAAACTTGATGGATCAAAGATTGAAACGTAAGACAAAAAACTATAAAACTCTTAGAAGAGAACATATGGGAAAACCTTCATGACACTGGATTTGGCAATGTTTTCTTAAGTATGGCCCCAATAGCAGAGGTAACAAAAGAAAATGTAGATAAATTGGACTTCATCAAAACTTAAGACTTTTGTGGCAGACAATTTCACAAGATAATAGCAACAGTGAAAAGGCAACCCATGGATTGGGAAAACATATTTGTAAATCATATATCTAATAAGGGATTGATATCTAGGATGTATAAAGAACTCCTACAACTCAACAACAAAAAAACTAACCCAATTAAGAAATGGGCAAAGGACTTGAATAGACATAACATCTCCACAGAAGATATGAAAACAGCCAAAAGGCACATGAAAAGATGCCTGGCTTCACTAATCACTGGAGAAATGCAAATGAAACCCACAATGAGACACAACATCACAATCATTAGAATGGTTATTATAAAGGTATGAATATTGGTGAGGATATGGAGAGAAATTGGAACTCTTGTGCATTTTTTATGGGAATGTAAAATTGTGCAGCCACTGTGAAAAACAGGATGGCAGTTGCTCAAAAAATTAAACAGAATTGCCATATGATCCAGCAGTTCCACTGAGGCTACACCCAAAAGAACTGAAAGCAGGGACTTGGACAGATATTTGTACACTCATGTTCACAGAGCAGCATCATTCACAAAAGCCTAAAGGTAGAAGCAACCCGTGTGTCCAAAATAAACCATACAATGGAATGTTACTCTGTCTTTAAAAGGAAGGAAATTCTGAAGCATGCTACAACATGGATGAACCTTGAGGACGTAAGTTGAGTGAAATCAACGAGTCACAAAAGGACAAATATTGTATGATTCTACTTATATGAGATTTAGGAGTAGTCAAATTCATAGAGACAGAAAGTGTATTGGTGGTTTCTTTCCAGGAACTGGCAATGGACAGTTATTATTTAACAATTGTTTAACAAAGTTTCGCTTCAGGAAGATGAAGAAGTTATGGAGATGTATGGTGGTGATGATTGCAAGACACTGTGAATGTACAGTCTCCAATTTACAATGGTCTGACTTATGATTTTTCAACTTTGTGATGGTGCAAAAGTGATATTCAGTAGAAATCGTACTTCAAATTTTGAATTTTGATCTTATCCTGGGCTAGTGTGTGCAGCGGTGTACTCTCTCATGATGCTGGACAGCAACAGCAAGCCACAGCTCCAGTCAGGGGCACAATCACGAGGGTAAACAACCGACACTCTGCGGCGCACTGGGTTGCCAGCATTTTTGGGATATGATTTTGCCCAACTATAGGCTAATGTAAGTGTTCTGAACACGTTTAAGGTAGGCGAGGCTAAGCTATGACGTTCAGTATGTTAGGGGTGTGTGTGTGTGTGTTATCTACATATATAGATAGATACACATCTAACATATATATGTATACACACACACACACACATATATATATATATGAGAGAGACAAGGTTTCTCTGTTGCCCAGGCTGGAGTGCAGTGGTGCAATACTAGTTCACTGCAGCCTCAAACTTCTGGGCTCAAGTGATCCTCCTGCCTTAGCCTTCCAAGTAGCTAGGATTACAGGAGCATGCCACCATGCCTGGCTAATTTTTAATTTTTTTGTAGCGATATGGGTCTTGCTATGTTGCCCAGGCTGGTCTGGAACTCCTGGGCTCAAGAGATCCTCCCTCCTTGGCCTCCCAAAGTGCTGGGATTACAGATGTGAGTCAACATGCCTGGCCTAGGTGTGTCAACTGCATTTTTACCTTACAATATTTTCAACTTACCACGGGTTTATCAGGACATAGCTCCATAGTGAGTCAAGGAGCATCTACACTTAACACCACTGAACTGTGTGCTTAAGGTGAAAACGGTACGTTTTAAGTTATGTATTTTTATCACTGCCAAAAAAAAGACACAGGAAAAAAGGGAATATAACATTTCGTGTGACATCTGACTAGGGGGAATAAAGTCTACAGATTTCCTAGAATAAAACGGTAGACAGCAGATTGCTCACAGTTTCTCACTGGGAGAAGAAGAGAAATTGCTTTCAGAGAAGGGCAGAAACCTTTAGTTTCACTCTCATGCCTCTGTTTTGTTTGAATTTTTGACACTGAACATCGATTACTTTTGTGATTTTATTAGAACACAAGACCTCTCCAGTTGTGCATGAGCCCACTTCACCCCATCTCACCACAGCCATGCTACCAGGTCCTGCAGACCCTCGGGCCTCCACACTCAGGCTCCTTGGCCCCTAGACTTGCACCCCAGCTACTGATTCATCTCAGTCCTTCACTGGCGACTCACTCCACTGGAGCGCCCACACAGGCTGACGCAGCACAGCCGCGTGTCTCTGTGGGTCTCTGGCCCTTCTCCCAGCTTCTTCCTGTGCTTGCTCCTGCCACAGGCAGCAGGAGCTGCAGCAGCTGCCACCACCACACCTCTTCAGCCTCTGGTGGCCAGGTCCGGCTCTGCATTACAGAAAGTTGCCTGACTGTAAAAAATTGATACATAATAGATGCACATCTTTTCAGGGTACATATGATAATTCGATACATTCATATAATGTGTAAAGATTAAATTGGGGTAATTGAGATATTCATTGCCTCAAATGTTTCTTTTCTTTATGCTAGGAACGCTTGAATTATTCTCTTCTAGGTATTTTGAAATGTACAATAGATTAATGTTAACTATAGTCACCCTGCTGTCAAACACTAGATCTTATTCCTGCTATTTAGCTGCATTTTTATATCTATTAATCAACTTCTCTTCATCACCCTCTCTCCCCTTCCAGGCCTCTGGTAACCACCAAAGTACTTTCTATCTTTAGGAGATCCACGTTTTTAGCTCCCACATGCAAGTGAGAACATGCAGTATTTGTCTTTCTGTGCTTGGCTTATTTCATTTAATGTGATGGCCTCCAGTTCCATCTATGTTGCTACAAATGCCAGGATTTCATTACTTTATGGCTGAGGAGTATTCCATCGAGTATATGTACCACATATTCTTTATCCAGTTTGTCCCTTGACAGGCACTTAGGTTGATTTCATATTATGGCTATTGTGAACAGTGCTGCAGTAAACATAAGAATGCAGCTATCTCTTTGCTATACTGATTTCCTTTCTTTTGACTGTGTATCCAGTAGAGGAATTGCTGGATCATATTGTGGCAGGCCAGGTCTTGCTAACACAGGCCTCCATAACAACTGTTTCAGTACTGACTGAGTGGTTAAGTTAAATATTAAAAGCTAAAAAAAAGCCAGTGCCCTTATACAAAGGCTGGAATGTTGCAAAAGCCCACCAAGAGTTTTGCCCAGGCCTTTCCTGAACCTTAAAGCATGATTAAACAAGTTTTATTAGGGGTCTGAAGAAACTCCCCAGCCCTCCACAAACAAGTTTATTGGGGGTCTGAAGAAACTCCCCAAACCTCCATGATTTAGCAGGAGACAAGGGAAGAGTAATCACCCCAGCACCTGGACCCATTTAGATTAAGGAAGTTTACTGAGGCTCCAGAGGAAGGTCTTCAAGACTCAGACCTTAGTTACAGATTAAAAGAAGTTAATCACTTATGTCTTGAGATGAATGCACACTTACACGTAGACATACAGCTTAGAAGGTATATTAGCTCTGGAAACCTTTGTAATTTTGAGTTGGTCTGGCGACAATTTCCAGGCCTTCTCCCTGTAACCAGTTACAGAAATAAAAACTCTCTTCCTCCCCAGTTCATCTACATCTCGTTACTGGGCCATGAGAAATAGCAGCCTGATCCTCTGTTTGGTCTGGGAACAAAATGGTAGTTCTATTTTTAGTTTGTGCAGAACTTCCTTACCATTCTCCATAGTGGCTGTACTAATTTACATTCCCACCAACAGTGTGTGAGGGTTCCCCTTTCTCTGCATCCTCACCAGCATGTTATTGCCTGTCTCTTGGATAAAGGCCATTTTAACTGGAGTAAGAGGATATCTCATTGAGGTTTTAATTTACATTTCTCTGATGATCAGTGCTGGTAGGCATTTTTCATATACCTGTTGGCCATTTGTAGGTCTTCTTTTGGGAAATGTCCATTCAGATCTTTAGCCCATTTTAAAATCATATATAGATATAGATATCTAGATATATATATAGATATAGATATCTAGATATATATATAGATATAGATATCTAGATATATATATAGATATAGATATCTAGATATCTATAGATATATATATATATAGCTATTAAGTTGTTCTAGCTCCTTATATATTCTGGTTTTTAATTCCTGTCATATGAATAGTTTGCAAATATTTTCTCCCATTCTGTGGGTTGTCACTTCACTTTGTTGATTGTTTCTTTTGCTGTGCAGAAGCTTTTTAGCTTGATGTAATCCCATTTGTCTATTTTTGTTTTACTTGTCTGTGCCTTTGAGGTTTTACACAAAAAAACCTTTACCCATACCAATGCCTGGAACGTTTCTCCAATGTTTTCTTTTAGTAATTTCCTACTTTATGGTCTTAGATTAAAGTCTTTATGACATTTTGATTTGATTTTTGTGTATGGTAAGAGATAGGGGGTCTAGTTTCATTCTTCTGCATAGGGTTGTCTGCCTGACATCTTTTGACAACCTCTTTCCCTGGGTCTGGTCAAGTTGGTTAATAGCACATTTCTCCTGCTTGGGAGAAAATATCATTAGCTTAGGCATTTCTGGACAGCAATCGTGGAAAACATACATCGTTCAGAGCTTTGATACATGGAGCCCTCTAATCAGAAGTTGTGGCCCTTTGAGGTATTGGAGCAACTTACAGAAGCAATGGCCAGCCTGGCTCTAAGTATGAGAGATTATAGGGTGTCACTTGTTGGGATGGGTGTCATCAGACAGAGGGTTTGGATGACACAAGAGGCAGTCTAAAGTAGGTTGTGTGTGAAAGAGAAAATCTTCTTCTCCCATTTTCCATGTCTTATTTTCCTCTGCAAGTATCAGCTCACTTCAAACACTGTAACAACCTGCATTGCTTGACAGAGCACAGTGAGAGTGGAGCAGGGTGGGAGGAGTTGATCTGAGACTGAGACCTTTCATTTCACATAAAACTGTTGGTTTTGGGAGATTTCCTCCCAGCTTCTCCCAGTGAGTTCCTGCTTTCTGGGGATATGCTGCTTGACATCTTGGCATTTGAGTCCCTCTCACAGGAAATCTTCAAAGTCACACAGATCCCACATTACCAACCAAGGGAATGCCCAGCATCCTATACAGAGGGAGTGCCTGTGGCTGGTCTCCATTCCAGTGGGAGGAATTGGAGTTGACATGGTGGTAACTCACATTAAGTCTGGAACAGCTGTAATGCCAGGCTTCTGCTGCCCAAGAGGAAAGATATGCTAGGGTACACCACCTCTGTTTCTGATGGAGCCACCCTCCATGACACGGGACACATTTCTCTTTCTTCTCTGCCTCTTAGAAGTCATATAACCTCCAGATGGTTTTTTTTGTCTCTCCTAATCTCGGTTTCTTCCTGAGACATGCTGTGGGGGCACTTCTAGAGTGAGGATTAACGGAGAGCCAGGTGCCTGCTGGTGCATGGCAGGTACTCAACAGCCTAGCAGAGATTCAGCCCCCTACTCTCGCCATCTGGAAAGCCACTTTTCAAATTGTTGATGATGCTTTTCCACTATAAGACCTGTAGGCATACATAAAACTGACATGTAAACTCCCAAAGAAGAAGAGAATTTTTCTTCACACTCTCATGAGACAAGATTAAATAAATAGAAACATATTCGGTCTCCAGCTGCAGCAGAATCTGGCCAAGGTGTCCTCCCCCTTGTCACAAGGAGACTCCCTAACTGTGGCTCTGGTGCCCCGTTTTCCATGTACCCCATTTCCCATATGCCATATGGTGCCTTTATAAAGTTTCACATTCTTCAATTATAGTGTTTAAAAGGGAAAACATCAATTTGCTTCCCTTGAATTCCTGATTAACTAGAATGATCTCTCCATTTGCTTTTTAAAATTTTGTTTTATGTGGTAAATATACATATGTATTAGTCTGCTCTCACACTGCTCTGAAGAAATACCGGAGACTGGGTAATTTATAAAGGAAAGAGGTTTAATTGACTCACAGTTCTGCACAGCTGGGGTGGCCTCAGGAAACTTACAATCATAGCAGAAGACACCTACTCATAGGGCAGCAGGGGAGAGAAATGCAGAGTGAAGGGGGAAAAAGCCCCTTGTACAACCACAGACCCCAAGAGAACTCACTAACTATCCTAAGAACAGCATGGGGGAACGGCCCCCATGATCTAATCACCTCCCACAACACGTGGGGATTATGGGAACTACA
The DNA here is from genome assembly GCF_000001405.40 of Homo sapiens. Classification (NCBI taxonomy): domain Eukaryota; kingdom Metazoa; phylum Chordata; class Mammalia; order Primates; family Hominidae; genus Homo; species Homo sapiens. The sequence continues at coordinate 230,564,289 of NC_000001.11, read as the reverse complement.
ATTCAAGATGAGATTTGGGTGGGGGCACAGCCAAACCATATCAACATAACATAAAAATTTCCATTTTAACCATTTTTAAGTATATATGTAGTTCAGCGGCATTAAGTTCTGTGGCATTCGCATTGTTGTGTGACCCTCACCACCATTCATCTCCTGATCTTTTTCATCTTCCCAAACTGGAATTGTACCCATTAAACACTCACTCTCCATTTCTCCCTCACTCAGCCCTTAGCAACAACCATTCTATTTTTCATCTCTATGCATTTGACTTCTCTAGGTCCCTCAAATAAGTGGAATTATGTTTGTCCTTTTGTGTCTGGTATATTTCACTTAGCGTAATGTCTTCAAGCCTCATCTGTGTTTTAGCACGTCAGAATTTTCTCCATCCATTTTTGCAAAGAGAAGCTTGTTCTCCGTCGCGGTTGTTCATGCTGCTTTGTGCCGTTAGTTCTTTGTTCCCTTTCACTGTCAGGAAGAGGAAGACAGAAGGAGCATGACTGATCCACCCAGGCCTTCACATCTGTGTCCCTCTGAGCTGCCTTTTTCCCAATTATGAGGGTTACCTTGGCAACTAATCGCTTCTCTAATTCTTTTTAAGGTTGTGAACAGATGACCAAATTACAAGGGCAAAAGATGGCAAAGATTGAGCATACATGTATGGAAGGGGACATTGTAATGATTTTACAAAATACAAAATGATTCTGATGTGTTTTGTACATTTCATACTTAATTTAAGAAATATCTTTGAGCACCCAACCAGGCACTGTGCTAGGTGTGGGATACAATGGTGAGCAAAAACAGATGTAGCGTACATTGAACCTGCAGGCTCCAGGGGGACAGACATTGATCCAAATAATCACAAACGCAGCTCAACTGCTTGGAAAAAAGACCACGTTTTTATAAAGCATAGTCCAAAGGCCCCAGCCTAGACTATGACATAGGAAAGGTGTCCCCAAAGAAATAACACATGAACTGAGACCTGAAAGATGAGTGAGATTTGAGCGAGGAGTTTGGGAAGAGACAGAGGCAGCTGGATGTAGCTGAGGAAGTGTTCAGCATGGTGTGAGAGCAGATAAGACATTCGTCTGCTTCCTAGAATGATCCAGCAACTCCCTGTGTTTCCTCTGGGAACAGAGGACAATGTACCTTGCCTTTTGGCAGGTAGAGGCCAAGGTAGGGATAACACTGAGCTGGAAAATACCTTTTTTGGGGTTTGGTCTGTTCCTTCCCTGGGACAATATGTTTCAGAGGCAGGATGCTAGACTGGTCTTAACCATGTCAGTGACCTGGAGTTGAGGCAGTAGGCAAGGTGAGAGCTGGATCAGGGGTGGGGGATCAGGATATATATGACTGGCCAGGTGACCCCTGGGAACATGGAAGAGAGGGTCCAGCTTTAGGGAAAGATGGGAGCCAAGAAGTAAAATCACAGTCTGGGCTTTAACCATCAGCTGGTGCTTAGGGCAATGCATTCATAGCTGAGGGCTTTCTGGAGGAGACAGTCTGGGTTGGGGCTAGAACAGCATTGTGGCCAGAAGGCCCCAGGACCATCATCAAGTTATATAGAAAGACCACCCTCAGACAGAAAGTTTCCCAATGATTCACTGGAAGGACTCCCAAAACTCAGGTTATACTCATGGTTACAGTTTATTACAGTGGAAGAATACATATTAAAATCAGCAAAGGGAAAAGGCACAGGGGTGAAGTCCCGGAGAGACCAGGCATAAGCTTCCAGGTGTCCTCTCCCACTGGAGCTGCACAACAGCACTTACTTCTCCCAGCAATGATGTGGCACAACCTATAGGAAGCATCGCCAATCAGGGAGGCTCCCTCAAGCCTTGGTGTTCAGGGATTTTATTGACAACTGGCCATATAGGCATGGAATGCTCATGTGGCTGATCTCAGTTATTCAGTCTCCAGTCTCTCCAGAGGTCACACTGATACAGCATAGCCCAAGGCCCCCACCAAAAATTGGATTGTTAACCTATACTGTCCAGCATGGGCCAAGGCCTCAGGTGTTCAAAGATACTGGCATCAGGCAGGATATTCCAGGGCTTGGAATTTGTCTCCCAGGCTGCAGTCAAGAGCCAGTTTCTTTGGAATCTGCAGGGTTGGGACAACCTAAATCTGCTGCACTAACCCTTTACTGCACAAATATGAATGCTGACTTATGGCCAGTGCAAGATATTTGAGAGGAACAACTATCACAAAAAGAGAAAATGTGCCTTTGATAATTATCATCCTTTGCAAAATTCTGGTTTGCTTTTCCCTTGAAACTTGGTTCCCCACTGCTTCTGAAAGGCCATGCCCAGCTTCCATGTTACTGTTGCCAGATCCCCTCTACCTGGATGACCTACATCCATGCCTGTCACCTCACCTGGATTGGGCTGCATTGGGGAAGAGAAGGAGAAATCAAATCAGCCATGATCAGATATGTTATTCCCCACTTTGTAGTCACTATGAGACTGGGCTGGCTCTGCAACGATGCATACAGAAATCTGTGGGTTGCTCTGAAGGTTCATTCCAGCACTTGCTGTACACAGCTCGCAGATGGTGTTTGCAAGATGTTTTATCCCCCACCTTTGCAGTTGCTGTGAAACTAGGCTACTCACTGTCTCCCCTCCGCTCGCAGCATACCCTCCAACAACACCCCCCTCCACCACCAAATAATGCTTATTTTAGCATTGAGAAAGTTTTCTTTATTAATTACAGGCCTCAGCATTTTACCAACCTGCTTCCACTTGCAACTTCTTAAAGGCAACTGAGCAAAGAGGACAATTATTTTCCCTGTGAATGTTTTAAATAAATTTTAACAGACCAAATGGGTTTGAAACAGAATAAAAAGAAATTTTCACTAGTTCTTCTTCCCCACTCCCCAATTCACCAAACATTCCTGTCATGCATGTTATTGTTGTCTCACCTGGCAGTGAGATAATTTTCAGTTACAAATAAAAAAGTGCCTATGAGTTTGCCATTTATTGTGTCTTCTCTTTTAGGCACAGTCTTCTAGGGATACAATGTCAATCACACAAACTACTTCAGTTGTAGGAGTCTCTGTGTTAAGACTTTTTGGTACCTAAAATTGTTTCACATTTTCAGCCTGTCAGTAGGGCTGCGGGTTAGCACTATGCAGAGGTGACGTTCTGCACACTGGTATGGTGAGCTGGTCACTGTCCCTCTGTTTAGTTACTGCCCATGCCTACCAGTCATTAAAGACTTGGACTGTCACATCGCACTCTTTCTAGAAAGCATGAGCCTAGGAGGCCCTGAGTTACACCCTGTTCAGTACACCAATTGTAAATTCTAAAATAACAAGATCTTCCTCATTCAACATTAGCAGAACAAAAGGCTTCACTCTAGGTGCCCTGCGCAGACTCCGGAAGAGTTCACAATTCCAGAGCACTTCATGAAATCACTCTTAGTATTTATGGTGACCTACTTCTTGTAGAGTTTTGTTTTAGAGACTTTGTTCACCACTTGCAAATATGTGTATATCCACAGCCCCAGCACGTGTTATGGTCCAGATTTGGTTGCTTGTTGTGTGATGAGGATGCAAGTCTCCTCAAAGGCATGTTCCTATTCAGGGCTTTAAGTTGTAAAGGACGAAAGGCTATGGGGATCTCTGCAACTGTGAAGTGAAGAATTCCCTACGCCAGCACTTCTCCAACTCATGCTCTGCAGAAGGGGGTAGGTACACTGAAAAGAGAATTCAGGCTCAAAAGCCTTTGGGATATACTGGGTTGAGCAGGCTTCCTTATTTCAGGGCTTTACAGAGTCTTTAATATACTCATATAGATTGCAAATATGCCAGGGAGCCATAGCATGCAAAGTTTCTAATATATTTGGCCCAAGAATATAGCATGTGTGTGTGTGTCTCACAATGTCCAGCTCCTAGTCCTGCATATTATTACTATTATTTGCATAAGTGTATACAATATATGATATATAATATTGTTATTTGCATAATTTATGTGCTATAAAATGTACAACTGGATGGATTTTACTCCTAGGTGTAACATCTCTGTACCACCAGCCAGATCAAGACACAGAACACTTCTGTCTTCTCAGAAAGCTTCTTCATGTCCCTCCCAGTCAATGCTTCTATGCCCTTCCCTGACTTCTATCACCATAGACAAGTTTTCTCTATTCTTGAGCTTCATAGAAAGGGAATCATAATACACTAGGTAATCCTGTGTCTAGCCTCTATTGCTTAACTTGCTTCAAGATTGAGCCATATTGTTGCATGAAGCAGTCATTTTTTTTCCTGTTTTTGTTTGTTTGTTTTGAGAGACAAGGTCTTTCTATGCTGCCCTGGCTGGCCTTGAATTTCAGGGCTCAAGTGATCCTCCCACCTCAACCTCCCAAGTAGCTGGGATTACAGGTGCTTGCCACCACACCCAGCTGAAGCAGTAGTTCTGAAACAATAGTTTTATCCCTCTTTGTCACAGTCCCCAAAGCAGGAAGGATACAGAGGACCTATTAGAAGTGACTTCATGGGCATGTTCGTTGCTCTGACGCAATCACAGGAATCAACCTGTATATAAGCACCCACCTGTGGTAACAAGAGACTTACTTTACAGTGAATTCATTCCAGTATTCCTCTGTCAACTGTGAAGCAAAACTGGAGGCCTTTCTTTGTAAAATTTTAAACACTTTTAAGTTTTTATTTTTGTATTTTCTTTATTGGGAAGTCAATGTTGTGTTACATCTTGGGACACCTGTACAAACCTTAATTAGAAAATGAATAATCCTTCATTTTCTCCCTCATATGCTGGGGGAATGAAAATGAGTGTAAGACAGTAAGGCAGAGAGGTGAGCTCAAGGTTATTCACTTGCTCCAACAAATATTCAATAAACATTGATTGAATGCCTAACACCATACTCAATTCTAGTGACTAAAAAATAGAAAAATAAATGGTCATTACCCTCCAAGTGCTCAGAGGCAAATAGTTAAAACTGGCACCGAGTTCAGTGTCTTAATGCACTGTGTGTCCCTACCAAAGGATTCTATTTCTCATTAGTGGTCCTGACTACACAGTAGTACCATTATCTGATGTGTGGCTGTCCCCAACTAGACCTAAGTGAGAGGGGACTGTGTTTTATTTATTTTTGGCCACCAGCTTCTTCAAAATGCCTGGTTTATTCAACGAAGCCATTCCACAATGAATGAATGAATGAATGAATGGTGGAAGAAATGGCAGTGTCCTCATCCTATCTCCACTGGTTATTAGCCATGTAACCTCGGACACATTCTGTGACTGGCCCTCACTTGTTTTCTAATCTGTGAAGTGGAGATAGCCACACTTCTTTTGCAGAGTAGTTGGTAGGATTGAAAAGGCTACTTTGGTGAAGACTATCCTGGGCTGACAGTAGATGTTCAGAACTATCAGAACATGAGGAAGAAAGTCATGAACTAATGGTGTCTTCTGACCCATTGTAGACTGAAGGAGGGTGGACATCTAGGGGTTTCCAGCCTGATGACCTTTGTCCTCCATAAAGGAGGTCAGCCACTGAAGTGGAGGTGGACAGGTGAGCAGTAGAGGCTGGGACAGCATGGGGGTTATTTGGGGAAGTTTCACCATTGTGCATGAGAGTCATACACGAAAGGTTTGTTAAGCTGTAACTTACAGAGTGGTTCCATTTTCCCCAGCTGAATTCACAGGAACCGTGGGGAGTGCTGCCTGGAGTTGAGTGATGGAGGTGACAGGCAAGGTGGAGGGACAACAGGCGTGGAGAGCCCATTTACCCAAGAGGAGTGGCTGAAGCATTTACCCACCCTGAAACAGGGTGTGTAGGGAGGGAAACAAAGTTCGTTAAGGCCAAAGGACAGGCTTTCTAGAAAGAAGGCTTGTGAAAGAGTTGCAAGGACATGAAGATTAGAGTGTGAGAAGGTCCTCCGAAATTTACATGTTGAAATCCTAACCTCCAGACCTCAGCAAATGACTGTATTTGGAGACAGGGTCTTTAAAGAGGTAGTTAAGTTAAAATGAGATAGTATGGGTGGATCCTAACCCAACACAACTGGTGTCCTTACAAGAAGAAGAGGTGAAGACACAGACGCACTCAGAGGGAAGACCATGTGAGGATATGGGAAGACGGCCATCTGCAAGCCAAGGCTAGAGACCTCAAGAGAAACCAAGCCTGCTGACACCTTGATCTTGGACTTCCAGTCCCCAGAACCTAGAGAAAATACATTTCTGTTCTTTAAGCCACCCAGTGTGTGGTACCGTGTTATGGTAGTCCTTGCAAACTAACACAGGGGGAGATGATGACATTTAGGACATTAGAGTAGAGGCAATTCAAGATCTGGTAGGAATTTGGGAGTTGCAGGGGGACAGTGCACAGCTGTCACTTGCACCATATTTTAAACTCTTGGAGAAGTCACATTTTTTTTTTACAGCTTTGTTGAGGTACAATTGACATACAATGAACTGCATGTACGGTTGGCCCTTGGTATCTCGGCTTCGCATCCCTGGAGTCAACCAACCAGGGATCAAAAATATTTTAAAATAAATAAATAAAAAAACACAAATTTAAAAACAATACAGTATAACAATTATTTACATAGTGTTAGCATTGCATTCAGTGTTATAAGTAATCTAGAGATGATTTAAAGTATACCAAAGGATGTGCATAGGTTATGTGCAAATACTATGCCATTTTATTTCGGAGGTTCAAGCATCTGCAGATTTTAGTATCCACAGGAGGTCCTAGCACCAACCCTCATGCTATTGAAGAATAACTGTATTTTAAATGTACATTTTGATAAGTTTTGACATAAAAACACACACAGACACACACACACACACACACACACACATATATACCCATGGAGCCATCACAATCAAGATAAATGAACATATCTATATTCCTAAAAGTTTCCTGCGCCTCTTTGTAATCTCTCTCTTATGACCCACCCTGACCTCCCTCCCATCCCCAGACAACTGCTGATCTGCTTTGTGTCACTATAGTTGTTTTCATTTTATAGAATTTGGTATAAATGGAATAATATAGGAATAATATGATATGTACTCTTTTTTGTTGGTCTGGCTTCATAATAAATTGCATCTCAATCATCCCTTTATACCCAGGGCTAAGCATGGTCACCCAATCAATGAACCAACAAATATTTTAGAGTGCCTGCTAGGTACTTGGTTTTGGCAAAACTATTCTAGATACATAATAGTTGTTTAATAAATGCTTGATGAATAATTCAGTGAATCCAAGTAGCATAGACTCTATTTTTCACTGAGATATAATTCATATACCATAAAATAAATCATTTTAAAGTGACCAGTTTAGTGGTTTTTAGTATATTTACGAAGTTGTACAACCATCATTGCTATCTAATTTCAGAACATTTTCTTCACCCCCAAGAGAAATCCCATACCCAATCCAACTCACTCCGCGTTTGTTCCTCTCCCCAGCCCCTGGCAACCATAAGTCTACTGTCTCTATATAGAAGGGTACTTACTCTGGGCATTTCATATAAATGGAATCATATTGTGAAGGTTGTCAGAATCAAAATGGAGTCACTTTTGTCAAAAGCCTCGGAATTAGAGCCAGGGGGATGTCCAGGAAGAGCAGGTTCTCACACACATACGTGATGATAAAAACTATCACGAAAGACTCTGCGAAAACCACAGCCTTGCACAAAGGCCACCACAGCTTTACACATAAAAAGCATTTCTTCAAGGACATCTTCCCAGCAACCGCCTGTCCAACCTTGAACTGGCACCACCCTTGTTATTGATCCTTGTAGCCTAAAATAATTATTTCAAAGTAAATTATATGATCCTCTGCATTTTTCCTTTAAAAACCTGTGTCTTCTTTTATCTCCCCAAATATATCTGCTATATTCCCATTGCAATGCTTATTCTCAAACAAATATCTTTTATTTTTCAGAGTGTCTCTCTCTGTCTGTTATTTAGGTTTTGACATAATTTGGTGTCAGAAGTAGAATTGAAGCTGGTTAGTTGGACAGATGGACAACCCCTGAAATTGAGTGAATTGCCTGTGCTGAGCCCTTTTGAGCTCTCCACCTCCGTGGCTGACCTTTTCTACCCTGCTGAATCTCCTCTCAGATTCCTGGACTCCTTTTTGGTGAGTTCTTTTGGCTTTATTTGGGATCTATTTTGGTTATAAGGCTACCTTAAATTTAAAAATCTTACATTTCTCTTGGGACTATAGAAGTCTTTTCTGGCAAGCCCTTTCTGGTATAAAGACGAGTGTCTTTCTAGTTTGAGTATTTTGGTTTCTATAAAATTTGCATTCTGTCTGTGAGTCATGTCTTTTCTTGTAAATTTACTTTTTTTTTTTCTGCTGACCTGGTTTAACATTTTCTTTGATCTGTGTGCCTGGCTTAAAAGTTTTGTGAGCACTGTTATTTTGATTTCATTTTGATTTGGTTATGCATGTCTGTAAGTAATTTGGCTTTTTTACATTTTTTTCTCTCTGTTCACTTCTGAAAATCTTCTGGTAGCAAAGCATTCAGAATAGTGAGTGCAGAATAGCCAATGAAAAGCTGATGCAACTATTCCAAAGACTGCATGAAATTTACAAAGGTGTGATGGTTCTGATGTGATACTGTCAGTCACGATTCTGGTTATCCTGAATGCAATAAAAATAACTAATTTCCTCATCAATTGTGAGCTCACATTAGATTTTTAGCCATGACTAACTTAAGCTTTTGTCATCCACAGTTGCTGTTTTTACTTTTCTCTAAAAGCATTTATAATCAGTTGTAATCCAAAATTGCTTTTCATGGAAAAGACTCTAACTAACAAGTAGTCGTTAGTTTTTTATTTTTATTTTTTTGAGATGGAGTCTCCCTCTGTCACCAGGCTGGAGTGTGCAGTGGCATGATCTCAGCTTACTGCAACCTCCGCCTCCCGGGTTTAAGCGATTCTTCTGCCTCAGCCTCCTGAGTAGCTGGGATTACAGGCGAGTGCCACCACGCCCAGCTAATTTTTGTATTTTTAGTAGAGATGGGGTTTCATCGTGTTGGCCAGCATGGTCTCGATTCTTCACCTTGTGATCTGCCTGCCTCAGCCTCCCAAAGTGCTGGGATTACAGGCATGAGCCACTGCGCCTGGCCTGCAAGTACTCTTAAATACAGGTTCCTGATAAGTTTTATATCAATGGACTAAATAAATATTTTTGAACTCTAATAAAACTGATACATTCATAAAACTACTCATCAAGATCAAAGAGAGCAAAAACTAATTACATAAAATTGAATAAGTAATAAAGAAAATGTTCCTATGACTTTTATGTGGAACATCATTGGTTCTCTGCTTAAATGTTTTGCTTTCCAAATTTAAGGAAACTTTTTCTCTCAAGCTGTCTATAGTTTACAGTAATTTGATCAAGTATACTTTTATAAACAAAAGTGTAAGCATTCACTTTTTCTCCCTACTCGATCTCTCCAAAATTTGGAAACTATTCATGAATATTTTTATTTTTTATGACAACATAATTGTTTGCATAAATTCAATAAGGATGTGCTGTGTTTATAACAGGACACAACTGAAAACATTAGTTATAGTACCAAGGTTTTGACTGGGATGTCATAGTTAAATTGTTTATAAGTACTACAGGTGGAATCTGAAGTCTGCCTTGGATTAAGCTTCCTAGCTTAAAGAGGTTTTAAAATCTGAGATTCCTGTGCAGTCAATTACTATCCTTGTTGCACTTACGTAAATGATCAGACAAAAATCGATGAAACTAAATTTATTTTACAAACAAATTTGTCTCACTCTGGTTATCTCTGGTAAAAATGGGGAAAAAAACTATAAAGCAAAAAATTATGTTTCCAAAAACATATGTATTACACCTGTTAGTCATGTGCATTATTTTCAAGTTTTTATTCCCTACTATACACTGGCTAGATCCTGAATTCTTCTAGGTTCCTCCAATCAACTTTTTTTCCATGGAATTGCTAAAAATGGGAGCCTCTCTGTTTCTGCAGCCCTATAAACTGAAATTAAATTTTAAGGGACAAGTTGCCTTTCTGATGGTTGGGCTACATGGCAAGTTCTCCAGACCACCTGATGCCATAACCAAAGACATTCCAGCAGCAATCCAGGACATAATGTTGCTGGCTTCATGCTATGGACAGCTTTTCCCAAGGTGACAAAACAAGAGCCCTCATCGTAGTGAGACTCTAGCTCCTCTTAGTTTTTTCTCATTTATGCCTATCTCTTTCACTTGGCAGGATAATCATGTAATTAAAGTTTCACAGATACTACTGGGGGTACCTTGACAGAATCTGACCTAAAAATATTTAGTCCACCTAATGAGTAACTTTAACTATCCTCAATACATCTATTGCTCATTCTGCTTTAATTCAACTCAGTCAGGAGATACTAGATGATAGAAATACTCTGTAGTATCTATTGGTTAAATAAGAAAATGTCTGTGCTATTGCTAATATTACATGCTGTACCTGGATAAATTTCTCTGGGAACATTGAGACTCAAATACGCAAAATAATAAAACAGGCCACATCATTACAACAGGTCTCATCTAACTCACCATAGTCATTTGATTTACTCAATTGGTTGCCTTTAAGCCTAGACTCGTGGCTCATAATTGTTATATAAACTGAGATTATCATATTACTATTATTTTTACTTTGTATTTTCTTTTCTTTTCCTTTTTTTTTTTAACTTTGTACCCGTTGCTTGTCAAATTTCTACAATACAAATCCTAACAAAAGAATGCTAGCCCAGCACTTTGAGATGATAATCAATGTTTATGGAACAGACAAAATTCAACTTAACAATGGACTGCAGGTAGGCTTGAAAGCCACTCTTTCAGAAATTCCCTGTGGCTCAAATGTGGCTGAAAGAGTTTTGACACCGACTCCTAGTTGTCAATCACTCCCTCCAGTGTGGGACCAGACCAACCCATGTCAGGTCCATTCTGGCACCAAAATATAACCAAAACCTAACTACAGGATTATTGATCAGCAATGCTTTCAGGGAAAGATCTCAATCAAAAGGGGGAATTGTAAAAGTTCTGAAAATTAAAATAAGTCACTGTGTGAAAATCCTGACAAATAGAGCCAGCGAAAGCCATAAAGGAAAAGATCTCACACATGTCTATCTGGTAACAAGAACTATCACAAAAGACTCTGCAAAAATCACAACCTTGCAAATGGGCCACCACAATCTTACACAAAAAAAGTGCTGCTGCAATGGCATCTGTCCAGCTACTGCCTGTCCAACCTCGGACATGTGCTGCCCTTGTTTGGATCCTTGTAGCCAAGGATAATTGTTTCAAAATAACTTATGTAATCCTCTTCATTTTTTTTTTCTTTTAAAGCCCTTGTCTTCCTTTACCTTCCCAAATATGCCTACTGTATTCTTATTGCATGCTTACTCTGAAATAAATATCATTTAATTTTAGAGAGTCTCTCTCTCTCTCTCTCTGTTGTTTAAATTCTAACAACACAATATGCAGTTGTCTTTGTCTGTCTTCTTTCATTGAACTAAGGTTTCCAGGGTTCATCAATGTGTAGCATGTGCCAGTAGTTCATTCCTTTTTATGGCTGAATATTATTCCATTATGTAGCTATGGCCCATTTTGTTTAGCTAGTCATCAGCTGATGATGGACTTCTGGCTCTTTTCTACTTTTTGGCAATTATGAATAACCCTGCCATGACCGTTCAAGTAAAAGTTTTCTGTGAACACGTTTCAATCCTTGCATATACACCTAGAAGTGAAATTGCTGGGTTATATGGCAATTCCATCTTTAACTTTTTTTAGGAATAGTCAAACTGTTTTCCAAATGACTGTACTATTGTACTCCCACCAGCAATGCATAACAGTTCCAATTTGCCCACTTCCTCGCCAACAATTGTTACTGTCTGTGTTTTTTATTCGAGCCATTTTAGTGGGTGTGAGTGGTTTCTCATTGTGGTTTTGATTTGCATTTCCCTGAGGAATATGTTGAGTATGTTTTTATTTGCTTCTTGGTAATGCAAGCTCTTATTAATCTATTCATTCATTCATGTATTTCAGTCCCAGCTTTATCAGTTATGTGTGGTCTTGGACAAGTTATTTTACTTCTCTGAACTCAGTTTTCTCATTCATAAAGTGGAAATAATAATCTCTATCTTATGGGATTGTTGAAAGGACTAGAATGAATATATGCAAAGCTCTTGGTAGAAATTGAGAACTCAATGAAGACAGAAGAGATGTAAGTCAATATGATGAGTAAGTCAAATGATGCTGGAGTTGGGTCTTGGAAGGAAAACAACATTCAAATAGGTAGAGGTAGAAAGAAAAGAGATTCCAACCAGAATGAGTGTGAACAAAGAGGAAGCCACAGTACAGTGGGATGTGTGCAATTACTGAAAACTTTGCATAGATTTGGCTAGAGTAGTAGAGTTCTCCTTCAATAGGAGCAGTGGCAGAAAAAGGACTGGAGGGAAGGATGGACTCAGACACAGAGGGCAACAAGATAAGGGCAAAGGGTGTGTGTCTCCTTGGAGGCCACCATGTGCTGCCCTGCTATTGTCTGGGGACTGGGTGAAAGTCAATATTGCCCTGCTCAGGACCAAGAGACATTGCTACCATTGGCACTGCTTGGATGTTCCTGATGCTCCCAGAACCTCTGTCACTTAGGAAATTACAAGGGTTTAGATACTTTGTACCAGAAATGAGGTAAAAGCCAAATATATATTTATTTCTCCTTATATATATATAGAGAGAGAGAGATGGGGTCTTGCTTGTTGCTCAGGGTGGTCTTGAACTACTCCTGGCCTCAAGCAATCCTCCTCTTGGCCTCCCAAAGTGCAGAGATTCATATAGATAGATAGATAGATAGATAGATAGATATAATACATAAGAAATATATCTATTTTTTCTTGTTTTGTATTATAATCTCCTATTATTTTTATCTGACCCATCAAATTCTGCTGGAAGGATCTGGTATCATACCTTAGTATGGACTTATCCAGTGAGTCCCTCTGTTATTTCTCTGGAGGTATCTTCACCCTCAGCAATCCTCCTGAAAGATGCTCATCCTGATTGCAGCACTATTCACAATAGCAAAGACGTGGAACCAACCCAAATTCCCATCAATGATAGACTGGATAAAGAAAATGTGGGACATATACACCATGGAATACTATGCAGCCATAAAAAGGGTGAGTTCATGTCCTTTGCAGGGACATGGATGAAGCTGGAAACCATCATTCTCAGCAAACTAACACAGAAACAGAAAATCAAACACCACATTTTCTCACTCATAAGTGGAAGTTGAACAATGAGAACATATGGGCACAGGGAGGGGAACATCACACACTTGGGCCTGTCGCGGGGTTGGGGGCAAGGGGAAGGACAGCATTAGGAGAAATACCTAATGTAGATGATGGGTTGATGGGTGCAGCAAACCACCATGGCACATTTATACCTATGTAACAAACATGCATGTTCTGCACATGTATCCCAGAACTTAAAGTATAATAATAAAAAAAAAAAACTAGAGAAAAAAAAAGAAACCCCAGACCCACTGATTAGAATGCACCATTTTCCCGGATCCTGTTGGCAAGGGGTACAAGGAAGACATCAACAATAAACAGGATGACACATGAAATATGATTCATTCAAACACAAAGACACTGTGGTTTCTCTTCTCCCAGCTTGTTTAACAACATCCTGATTCACAAGCACCCTTTGCTGGTGCTGCTCAGTGTGGAGGAAGGCATAAGTTTGGGGGACAGATACAGCAGACTCTGCCTGTGACCACTGTCACCAGGGTTGCTCTCCAAGTTTTGTTTTAGAATCTACACCAAAGATGCACTATTCACACATTACACCAGCAACAAGCAGTTTAAAGCCTGAGCTTGTTCCTGTGCCCACTTAGGTTTTCTGATTTTAAGTGGGGCCTGGAATGATACATGTGGCTGCTCTGTTGAAGGATGAGGAACAGAGGCTTTTACAAGAGTTGACCTCTGCAGAAAATCAAATGCCTCTTTTCCTCACAGGTGGCCAAACGTCCAGGATGAGAGTTCTGTGGAAACAGAAGACAAAAATACAAATATGTCCAGGAAAATGCTGCCAGCGGCACAATATCTACTGCATTTCTCTTTCAGGGCTAAGGAATTGGGTTACTTTGTGCCCCGCCTCTGCCCGCAGGGAAGACCATTCCTGGATTTACCCTTCGAGGGAGCAGTAGAAGCGGATCTGGCATGAAGTGGGGGACACAACTCCCCTTATGCTCCCAGCACATCTCCTGGGCTGAGGCCATCTCAGATTGGAAGACCAGCTTTCCAAAGCAAGTCTCCTCCACATCATGAAGGAGAAAAAGGTGAAACATTTGATGTCCTGATGGTAATAGGATCACAGGCTCTAAAACATGAGGGAGGTGGGGCTGGACAAAGTCTTTAGGAGACTGCTGAATTGTTGACTTTATTCCAAGTCAGGATCCCGAGTAATCACTGAGCCTCAGTATAATTATATGCACATGAGAAGCTATTTATTTCTTGCATTCTGCTTATCTTTGCCAAGAAAACACTCCTCCCCCATGCCTTAAAATGCCCAGAGACATGGTTCTGGATGAGCCACTTGGAGGGCTAAGGGCACCTGCTGGCTGAGGCCCATGAGAACACACCAGCCCTGTGGGGAAAGTGTGGAGCTCATGTACCCACTGCCCTTTCCCTGCTCAGAGCAGGGCATCCCGACAGCAGCTATGAATGCACCTGCTCTGAGCATCTCCCCGCCAGGCTCTGTGCACTCCATCAGGGTCCTCTTCTGAGCCTGGCACTGCTCACCTGGGCAGAGAGTCCACTCAAGCCCCAGAGTCCTTGGCTTCATTGGAAGTTCCTCCTGGGAGCATCAACACAGCCCTTTCCCCCGTATCCACTGGCTTTTGGGGAGCTGGGCCTGGGAAGCCCTTTTCTCTCCCTACGCTGTATTCATCCTGCCAGCCAAGCTGGAGCCTCTGCATTTTTTAGTCCAATTATTGGCAGCTGTACAGGTTTCCCAGAACACCTGGCCCTCCTCACCCTCATTCTGTGGCATTATTTAATCAAACTGGCTAGGAGTATTTATAGCTCCCCTGAAAGGCAGCAGCCGCTCCATTCCCGGGAAAGTGGAACATTGAGACATTAAAGAGTATTTTCAAAAGAAAAAAAGTCCTCTCACAGACTCATGATGTTGCCATCCCAATGTGTCTTCCAAAAATAGGCCTCCCGGACAGCTCCTCGGTGCCACCAGCTCTCTCCTCTGTGTACTTGCCACCTGCCAGGCTCAGAGTGAGAAAGCTACCTGCTACTGTTCCCAAATGGTCAGTTCTAATTCTCCAGCCCTCCTCCCAACCCAGAAAATCCCAATATTCTTCCCTGGGTAGATGTCCCTTTGATTAAAAGAGATGGAGCCAAGGGAAATAACTAAATCACAACTAAACATTCCCTCTAGTGCAAGGAGTCAATGATTCTGGATACTCTGCCACTCTGTTCTCCATGGGAGCACCAAAGCCCATCTTAAATACAACCTCTTTCATGCTTTAAGACTTATGGAAGGAAGCCCAGGCCCAATGATTTGCTCAAAGTCCCAAATGCTCTTTGGACTCAAGGCATTCTGGTGGAGCATCAGACAAATGTGTGGCTCTTGGCCAAGAGCCAGGGAGCACAGAAAACTCTGAAGCTGGGGCAGGTGCATGCTGGCTAGGCAGAAACAGTTACAGACCTTTGGAGATGAAGAGCAACTGAGAAGGTATGGTTGGAGAGCCTGGGGCAATAGAGCTAAGCATGGGGTTCCAAAGCAGACGATGCAAGCTCTCACCCCAGCTTCACCACTGTGTGTGATCTCAGATAAGTGACATGTTCTCTAACCCAAGTGTCTTTATCCTATGCAGATCACATTTTTGTATTACATAAGACAATCCAGACACCGTGCCTGACACACAGGAAGCATGTATCATGGGTTAGCACAATGTTAAAGAAGAAGAAACTGAGATACAGACCCTTTGAGAGGCTTGTCCAAGGCTACATGGACCCAGGATCAGAACTGAGTCTCCTGGTTTCCAGTCTGAGATCTATTTATTATTATTATTATTATTATTACTTGTGTGTGTGTGGTACCAGGAACCTCTTATAAGAGAGTTAAACAAGACAAGTGGTCAAGAGTTTCAGGCATCAGTGAACACTCAGGAACTGAAGTATGAAGAAAAAATTATAGAAAGAGGAGTATATACTCAGGGAAACTTGAATCTATGCTCCCAGATTGTAAAAAATAAAAATAAAAATAAACCACATAAAGGAGGAAGAACCAAGAAGAACCTTCACAATTCTGGGAACATTTTGCTTCAGCCGGGGAGCCCTCACATTTTCCTATTGTGTTGAAAGCCAGTCCTCAAGTTGGCTAATCTGAGGCCTGCAGGACAGAAAAAGGGGACACCCCAAACTGCAGGGGAAGGAAGGTGCCACTGCTTCCAGGCTGTTCCAGGCATAGGGAGGTAAAGAGGCTGGCAAACATGGGGCATCAGGCAAGAGCTAACAAGCTAGAGAGCGCAGGCAAGACTAAACAGAAAACAAAGAATAATGCAGACAAAGGGACAAACGCTGTATGATTCCACTTGTATGAGATATCTAGAGGAATCGAACAGTAACAGGCAGTAGAAACGTGGTAGCCAGGGGCTCATGGGGAAGAGGAGTTAGTGTTTAATGGAGACAGAGTTTCAGTTTGGGAAGATGAGAGTTGTGGCAATGGATGGTGGTGATGTTTGCATAACAATGTGAATGTACTGAATGCCACTGGACTGAACATGTAAAAATGGTTAAGATGTAGATTTCATGTTATGGGTAATTAACCACAATAAATAATAGATGATAGATAGATAGAATTTTACAAGACAGAACTGCAGACCAAGGAGTATGGTACAGACCTCAGGGGTCTGTGCAGCCTGGGAGGGGATAAATCATTTTACACTGAAGAAACCAATAACAGTTTCATAAAGACAATAGGACTTTAGTTAGAATTTTGTATTAGATAGGACCTCTTGGTTGTAACTATAAAAGACTCCACTCAAATTAACTTAAACACCAAAGGGTTGTTTTTTGTAAGGACTGAGTAGTAGCCTATAGACCCAAAGCTGAACAACTAAAGTCAGAAGAAGGAGAAAGAAGGGCATCTAGGCTATCCGAAACAGTGACTTACAGTCTTGTTCTCTTTAATTTTTGCCTCTCTCTGGGTGTTGCCTTCATTCTCATTTATTGTAGACTGGCTTTCCCTACGAGTGGAAGATTTAAAAATTTATCCCTGCTGGGTGCAGTGGCTCAAGCCCGTAACCCCAGCACGTTGGGAGGCTAAGGCAGGCGGATCTCTTGAAACCAGTAGTTCAAGACCAGCCTGGGTAGCAAAGCAAAACTTCATCTCTACAAAAATGAAAAATAAATAAAAAGTAGCAGCTACTTGGGAGGATGAGGCAGGAGAATGGCGTGAACCCAGGAGGCGGAGTTTGCAGTGAGCCGAGATAGCGCCACTGCAGTCCGGCCTGGGTGAAACAGCGAGACTCTGTCTCAAAAAAAAAAAAAAAAAAAAAAAGAGTAGCTGGGTGTGGTGGTTCATGCCTGTAGTCCCATCTACTGAGGAGGCTGAGGCAGGAGGATCACTTGAGCCCAGGAGTCAAAGCTGCAGTGAACCATGATCACACCATTGCACCCCAGCCTGGGTGACAGAGTGAGACACTATCTTAAAAAAATTAAAACCTTACCCTGGGCCAATGGTGGCCAGGAGGACAAGATGCTGTGACTCTTTGCCCCTGCTAGAGCCACATGACTGGAGTTGGGAGAGATGTTCCCTCAAAGAAGGTGAGGTTCCCTAGAAACAGCTCCTGAGATGGAACGCGTGTGCAGAAGGATTACTGGAGAGTGCTCTTGGGACACATCCATAAGGAAGAAAGGCAGGCAGGATTGGACAGCGGAAGAAACTAACCCATAATGTGGTTACACCTGGGGCCTTAGCTACAGGGAGCTCTGGAGCTGAGAATTGTCCCCAACTGAGACAAGGAAGCTGGACTACTGTGTCCCATTGACCAGTTATTGTTTTGTGTCATTTATGTGTCATTTCCCTATGAGAAGGTATGACCTTGGGTGAAGCTGAGGGTGATTCCCAGGGAAAGACACAGCTACAAACCATCAGCAGCTGATATTCCTAGACACCAAAGAATGTGTTTGCTGCTTTAAAGAGGGCATTGAGGGATGTACCACAGCACACAGGACTGTCCACACTTCACCCTGTTCACATCTACTTATTTCTTACAATAAGTTTGTCCCTATGAGAACAACTGCTCCAAGACTTTGGTTGGTCTTATTTCAAGGGAAATTTACAAGAGAAGGTTGTATATTGCTCTTGAGGTTATATCTAATACTCATCATCCCCTCCTCCTCAACCTTTTCTAGATTCAACTCGCCCTTGGCTAGAGCCTGTTGGAGTGACTCAGACCTTTATCCCTGAGGAGTCTGAGATTCTGTTACCATGTCCTTCTTGGGCCATCATGGCTGTACTTATCCATTTACCACTAAAACTGGGCATGAGAAGCACTAAGCCATATCCCAGTAGATCACCTGAATGGTGGATGTATTTTTCCCTTCTTTCTCATGCAACATCAGTCCTGCCTCTTCCTGATGATCAGGATCTATAATCCCTATCAGGATGGTGGCTGTTTTTCTCGCCCACAGAACCTGAAGTAAGGGAGATGGGCAGCCCACGCTCCCAGAGTGGGTCATTGCAGTACCGGTAAATAGTGCATTCCTCCTCAGCCCGTGGGGACATGTCAGTATGTAATAGTTATTGCTTTAGGTTGTATTTGCTTCCTGGAGGGTGACAACTCATCCTCACAGGGAATCCTCCAGCAGCAGTATCTTTAAGGGAAGTCTACTGCTCTATCAGGCTGGCAGCTGCTGCATGACACAGTAAGTAATTGGACTCTGTGCTGGTGGATTCTCTGTGCCTGTGGCCACACTTTTTTTCTGTAAAGTGCCCCTTGGTCTGCAGTAATGTTTACAGGATCCTTTGTAGATGGAATGAAATAAATACTTTGTAAGTGCTCATAATGGCCAAGGCCCTGTGGACAGGAAAGGCAGATCATACTGAGAATGTGCATCTTCTCAGTCAAATCAATTGTACCAAGGGGACTCCTTGAGGAATGGTGCTGTGTCAGAGGCTCAATGTCAGGTTGGACATTTGGCAGCAGAAGTAGCTAGATGAGACTGGGTGGGTGGAAACTCTTGCTGCTGGGCCCATGTGTAGGCTCCATCTCTGCCATGTTGGCCACTCTGCTCACACACCCATCATACCAGCACTGGAATGGGTGACATGAACTTGCTGAGTCATTGTGTCTAACTTGTGTAGAGCCTCTTTATAGTGGGTGCTCTTTGATGGCCATTAGCATGGAATACATTCCCATGGTTCCATCCACACCTCCTTGTGTCTGACAATCTAATCATTCTCCTACCAGGCTCTGACCAACCAGCTAGGCCATGAGTTTTAGTATATTCTTATCTTGGGCCTCTTCTGTTTCCATAGTTGGGTGACCAGGTATGCTGCCTGGATCTGTACCCATTGGAAGAATTTTCCTTCACTGCTCTTTCAAGGTCAGTCCTGAACAGTGCAGCTGCCATCTGTTTTCAGCATCCACTGACACAAGCTGACCCATCCATGAACCAAGCTCAGCCCTTTTCTTTCCACTGGTCACAAAGGAAACTCCCCTACAGCCACCACTGTGAGCTGGAGAAGAGGCCAGTGCAAGAGTGATGGGTGACATACAGTTTGGGCTACCTGTTCACACAACTTGCTTGTGCCCTCTGGCCTCACTTGTGTTGATCCTAGATGTACAATTTCCATCGTATGTTGGATTTCTGTTGGGCCATCTGACCTTATGATTTGGTGGGTCTGACAGAATCCAGTTTAGGATGGGCATTTCTGGCCATGTGGTCACTTGATGTTCAAGGTCATATGCTCCATTTACCAAGACCCAATAGTGTACCTGAAGTTGTTTTTTTCAAATTGAAACCATCTTTGCAAAAATTATAGTGAGAAACATCGGACATAACTGGCTCTATCTTGCTTCTAACCCCACAAGCTATCATTGCTCATTCTAAGCTAGCTTTGAGAGGAATATAATTCATAGTTAAATTTTAGAACAAAGGTGATAACAGCCCCTTCCAGAAACTAACCCCCTTCTCACTTGGGGACCCAAACCACCTTTGTAAAACTAATAAAAGATAACAATATTGGGATTGTGATGAGGGCCTGGATTCTGCAAAGATGTAGACATAGTTAAACTCTAATCAGTCATTGTTTTATAGCTTGCCTTTCTTTAACTACTTACTACTCAGGAGTAACATGGCCAGGGGTCATGAGATTTGTAACTTCCCCAATTACTCTTATGGATAACATCACTATGGTAAAATATAAGACTGATGTTTGAGATATTTTTCAGACCTGGCATTCCGTATGAACCAACTGGCACCATCCTAACCAGTAACTTCACCCAGGAACTGACTCAGCGCCAGAAGACAGCTTCAAACCCCTATGATTTCATCCCTGACCCAAACAATCAATAGTTCCCATTCCCTATCTCCCTGCCCACCAAACTTTCCTTGAAAAACTCTAGCCCTCAATTCTCAGGGAGGTGAATTTAAGAATTACCTCCCACCCTTCTGCTTAGCTGGCCCTGCGGTAATTTGTTTGTTTGTTTGAGACAGAGTCTCATTCTGTCGCCCAGGCTGGAATGCAGTGGTGCAATCTTAGCTTACTGCAACCACCTCACTGGTTCAAGCAATTCTCACGCCTCAGCCTCCCA
This sequence comes from Homo sapiens, assembly GCF_000001405.40. Taxonomy (NCBI): domain Eukaryota; kingdom Metazoa; phylum Chordata; class Mammalia; order Primates; family Hominidae; genus Homo; species Homo sapiens. The sequence goes on along the minus strand of NC_000001.11, from coordinate 230,543,474 downwards.
AGTAGCTGGGATTACAGGTGTGTGCCATCACACCCAGCTAATTTTTGTGTTTTTTGAGAGACAGGGTTTCACCTGTTGGCCAGGCTGGTCTAGAAACCTGACCTCAAGTGATCCACCCACCTCAGCTTCCCAAAATACTGGGATTACAGGTGTGAGCCACTGTGCCTGGCCAGCTCTGAGATAATTAAACTCTTTCTTTGCTATTCTCAGTGCATTGGCTTTCTGGGCAGTGGGCAAAAAGAACCCACCGGCCAACGATGAGATGATGTGGTGTTCTCTGCTACAGGTGGCATGGCCTTGCTCCAGAATTCTAGCTGTCTACTTTGTGATTCTCCTATTGATGCCTGCCATAAACACCACAAAGCCTCTCTCCCCACCACAGATAACATTAGTAACTGAATCAAGTGGCCCAAGCAGCACGGCTGCACGCATTGCCACCTGGATCTGCTGCAGAGCCCTGCTCCACTCTGGGTCCCATTCAGATCTTGGAGCCTTCCACATCACTCAGTGAATGCATCAGAGCACCTTCCCAATGGTGCAATATGCTGCTTCCAGAACACAAAGAAGCCTACCACACATTGCATTTTGTTTTGTTTGAGACAGGGTCTCACTGGAGTGCAGGCCAGGCTGGAATGCAGTGGTGCAATCATGGCTCACTGTAGCTGAATTCCTGGGCTCAAGCAATTCTCTGCCTCAGCCTCCTGAGTAGCTGGGACTATAGGCATGCACCACCATGCCTGGCTAATTTTTTTCTTAATTTTTATTTTGTAGAGATGGGGCCTTGCTATGTTGACCAGGCTGTTTTCTAACTCCTGGCCTCACACGATCCTCCTGCCGCAGCCTCTGAAAGTGTTGGGCATGAGCCACCATGCCCTGCCTGTACTTTCTTAATTTTAGGTATGAGATGCAATAATTTGTTCATCTGCTCTAATTAACATTACACCACTGATGTGATAGACTAATGTGATATTCTGTGGACTATCCATACAATCTAGGTCTCTTTGGACTATATTTTGGCAGAAAGAAGGAAAGTTAACATAGCCCTAGGGCAATACCACAAATGTATACTGTTGTCTGTGCTATATGAACACAAACTGTTTCTGATTATTCTCCCAGACAGGGTTGGACAAGCACTCACTCAGTGAATCAGTGGCCACATCCTACATGTTAGAGGTTAATCTGCTCTTGCAAAGATAACACATTTAACACAGTAGCTGCACTGGGGGCTGGTATTGGGTTAGGTTTGTGGTTGTTCACTGTCATCAGCCATGAATCACTGGTGTTTGCAGAGACCAGACTGATGAGTTATGTAGGGTTTCACAGAACCATCACTCCTGCTATCATTGTTTTTGCATTCTCCATAGAATATGGTATTGTTTTTTTACTTACTGTCTTAGCATGGTTAGGGAGTGGTTTTAAACCTTCTTCTCAGCCTTTCTTACTTTAATACTTTTTGCGACTGCAGGTCAAAGAGCCAGTGTGAAGGTTCTGCCAACCATCAAGCATGGCCACTCCAATTATTCATTTAGGGACCAGGAAAATGACTTCCCAGAGAACTCCCCATAAGACGTATGTGGTCCAGGGCCCCAGATATCAATTGTAATCCCAATCTTGTACCCAACATTTTTGAAAGGACTGGGTATTCCCCCTGCCCCCAGTGCATGGTTACCATGGTTACCTGAATAAATGGCAATAGATCCCATTGGGGGAAGGTCAAGTATGCTGGTTAATTCCATATGTCAACATGGCTAGGCTGGTTATGGTGCCTAGATGTTTCTTTAAACACCAGCCTAGATGTTACTGTGAGAGTATTTTCCAGATGTAATCAACATTTAAATTAGTAGACTTGAGTGAAGCAGATTACTTTCCATTTGTGGGTTGGCCTTATCCAATCAGTAGAAGGCCTTAAGAACAAAGACGAAGGTTTCCCAAAGAAGAAATTTTCCTCCAGATTGTGAACATAGAAACCCTGCCAAGTTTTCAGCCTGCTGCCCTGTGGAATTCAGATTCAAGACTGCAATGCCAACTCTCCTGAATTTTCAGGCTGCTGGCCCACCCTATTGATTTCAGACTTGCCAGCCGCCCTCTCTCTTTAGCTAGTGAGCTAGAAGTTTCCTAGATAAATAGTAAATTCCCAGATGTATTACTCAGGCTTCCTCAGAGAAACAGAGCCAATAATAATATATACAGAACCAATAAAAAACTATATATGATATATAGTATATAATATATATTTGATATATATATGACATCATATATGTAGTATATTATTGGTTCTGTGTCTCTGAAGAACGCTGACTAATGTATCCAGGAATTTACTATTTAGTACACTTGCTGCATTATTGCATGGTCCTTCTTCATAGGGACTTGATCTCTTTTTGTGTCACTGGGCTCCATTTCTAAGAAGTGGCTGAGGTTCAAAAACTAGGCATGGAACTTTGACTTTATATTGGGAGGACTGCCCTCAGTCTTCTGATCAACCTTTCTTAATTTCTTTGGACTTTATACATTAAGCAACATTCTTGTCAGGTGCCCATTTGTCTTGCCTCTAGGGACAGCCTGTTTCATGAACCATCTCCAGCTCTCTGCAGACCAGCTTCCCTACGCTCTCACTCAGCCTTGTTCCTTATTGTGATAATTGTGCCCAGCTGGCTTCTGATGTTTAATTATCACCCTCTGACCTCTATTATTTCAGGATCCTATCACCCCTATTGCAATCATCATCCCTGGCTGACAGAGGACATCCTCAACTGAGCTTCTCGGCAAGGCTGGGATCTTCACCAGCACGTTCCTTATGACTTTGGTAAACAAACATCCTCTGGGCCCTCTCACAGAGTCAGCTAGTGAATTTCTCGCCTCGCATTCTTGGCCTTGATCCATTTTAGGAGGCCCACTTCTCTGAGGCTTTGAGGCTTTTCTCTTCCATCTGCCAAGGAAGTTATGATATTTCTATTTCACTTAATGTGAGCCATCACTATTTCCAAGGTCTTGAAAGCCTAAGATCTTATTAGCTCTGTTTTCCAGGATGCTATTAACCCTGTTTCGCAGCATATTAGCCCTTGCCAGGATGCTAAATCCTTTATCATGGAAGAAGCTCCTATAATAATAAACCATCTTTAATCCAACTTTATCTCCCATTTCCCCTCAGTTTAGCACCTTCAAGATTCCATTCCATGCGTGCTCTCCTAGCTCCTGCAGGTATATGTTAGCCAGATTCTGCAGCAACTTGGTCCCTCTAATTCCTTAGTAAGCCCAATACCCCATCAATAGACCTCCACAGAGATTTGACTTTTATAATTCGCCAGGATGGGAGGTGGGGTAGACCACGAGGGAAGCAAACTGTGTCTCACAAAATGCCAGCCTTACTTGAGGCTCCTGCACCATCTTTGAGCAAAGGGAAGAGCCATCTTCTAACGAGGGGAAATGGACCAATTCTAAAGGAGCAGCTGGTTCAGGGGAATCTGGGGATTCAATATTCTCAAATACCTATATCCAGACACTGCTGTCCCAAATTGCAGGGTTCTATTCCTTCCTCATGAAAGACTTGACCATGGCATAGGAGACCTAGTGGGGTGGGGAATTCAACCATTCCAGAAACTCCTCTACTCTTAGAATTAAGTCCTGAGCCTGGTCTTCTCTCTGCCCTCCAGTTGTAAGAGATCAAGTTTTCCTTAAAAGCTGCAGAGAAACCTTTGACTTTCAGTATTGCCTTGAATTGGTGGTTAATTGCTCTGACTGTCCTTATCTCTCATCAATAAATCAAGAGCACTCAGCATCAACCACCCACTTCCATAGTCCTCGTTGCTATGATTGTCTTCATTCTCTCAAGCCTCAGAGATATTGCATCAGTCCATGCTATCCTTTCTACTGGAAAGCCAACCCAGTTCATCACTGGTGGAACGTTATGGCATCTGCACCCCTACAGCATCACCTCCTACCACTGGTGATGGGATCCTTACACCAACTGGCCAGCAAGTGATCCTGCTCCAACATCCCCTTCAAATGACTCTAAATTAGAGGCTACTGCCTAGGGCCACTTCTGGTACTAGTAAATGGCCCTAGATTGGGTTCTCTGGAAAAAGACTCAGAGCCAGACTTTATGCTGAAGACTTTCTGCAGGTACGCTCAGGAGATATACCTAGGGGAGTGAAGACGGCAGGACTGGGCAGAGGGAGAAGCCACCCTTCCCTGCAGTTGCAACTAAGGCCTCAGGTGATCCTTTATGGAGTTCTGCATCAGCTGATTGTTGGCCACAGAATACCCCAGGAGGGGATGTAACCCTGGGTGAAGCTGTTTCCTGTGGCTGGGAGGGATGCAACTGTGAGCTGTCACCCACTGACATTCTTGGCCTCTGGGGAATAGACAGTTACATAGGCCTTGAAGTTGGGATCCGGAATGAAAACCAGTATCCCACATACAGCTCTACTATGAAAGGGTGCTTGGCAGACAAAACAAATAGATGTCCACTCTAACCTTAAAGAATGGATAGCCCAGCATCTTGGGAGGCCGAGGCAGGAGAATTGCTTGAGCCCAGGAGTTCAAGACCAGCCTGGGCAACATAGTGAGACCCTGTCTCTACAAAAAAAAAATTAAAAAAATAGCCAGGCATGGTGGCTCATGCCCTGTAGCCCCAGCTACTTGGGAGGTGGAGGGATCACTTGAACCCAGGAGGTTGAGGCTGCAAATGAGCTATGCTCATGCAGCTACACTCCAGCCTGGGCAACAGAGTGAGATCCTGTCTCAAAAAAGAAAAAAAAAAGAATAGGAAAGATCTGGATAGGTGTAGTGGGTGGTGAGGTTGTTTCAAATGAGGGAGAGAGCAGGGGTGAAGGCTTCAACATGGGAGTGAACAGGGACTATTCTAACGTGCAGGTCACCCACTGGGCAAAAGGGAGGTGGGTGAAAAGTCTGTTTTGGGTATTTGTAATAACAGAAAAGGTCTTAACTTGTCCATGCCTAGTTGGGAAAAAAATTTTTTTATATCTGGATTGTTCTGGAAATCCCGTGAAATTATAGCTTATGAAACCGTAGTGCTATAGATTAAATGTTTAGGTCTCCCCAAATCCATATGTTAAAATTTTAATCCCTAATGTGATGGTATTTGAAGATGTGGCCTTTGAGAAGTGATTAGGTCAGGCAGGTGGAGCCCTTATGAATGAGTCCCTTAGGAAAAAGACCCCAGAGAACTCACTCACCCCTTCTACCATGTGAGAACACAGCCAGAAGGCATGTCCATAAACCATGAAATGGGCCCTCATCAGACACCAGCTCTGCCAGTGCCTTGATCTTGGACTTGCCAGCCTCCAGAATTGTGAGAAGAAAATTTTTTTTTCTTATAAGCTATTTGGTCTATGGTATTTTTGTTAGAGCAGCCTGTTATATTTTTTCCTAATTTGGTCTTAAGGTTCTCTCCTGAGGGAGGCTGTAAACTCTAGGCCTGCCCTGATGGGGCTGTAGGGGAAGTGGTCATGAACGTTTACTCTGTGTCTTTCACAGGATACTTCTTTATCCTAATAAAGGATGCCTAACTGTCTGGCCTGTGACCCGGGGTCCCTATCACAGGAAATGTGTTTCCCTTGGTAAATGCCTTTGTGGCTCTTGTTTGACCTATGTCCAGTTTTTTCCAAGTGAGATAGCCACTGTCTCGGGGAACGCTGACCTGGAGAGAAGTTAGCTTCAGGTGTGTCGGTCAGGTGAGACACAGAGGAGACGATGCAACAAAACACAGGAAATATCAGAAGCAGTGGATTACTTACCGATCCACAAGAGAAGGGGAGTACCAATAAGGTCAACAGGAAGACTGCAGGGGCAGGGCACTTAACCAGCAGGGGGAGTACCAGAGAGGGAAGGACCTAGGGGCTGGGGCCTTCACTGGGGTCCCGGGTGTTACCCAGGCAGGTTTCCTGCTGGGAGTTCTAACTGATGGTTATAGAGCAAGCAGGCATGAGTTCCATGGAGTCACGCTTACTTTAAGATGGTCATTGCAGCATATCTGTGCAGCCCTCGTCGAGTGTGGGGGTCAGTGGGGTGAGATGCAAAGCAGGCTGCATCTAGCTGTCCCATAGCAAAGCATTCATCAGGAGGCAGTTTTTTAAGGCAGATATCTGGGTCAACCACCTTGAGAAATTGGGAATAGGTGGGTAACTGGAAACTGTGTCAATGGTGACTATTCTTTGCTTCGGGTATAAGAAGGTCCAAATTGTATTCAAAATAGATGCTGAAGCAACATAAAATTATAGGAATTCACTACATAGCTTGAGTGGATTAAGACAAGTAGGAATATACCAAAGATTGCAAATTCAGACGTGTACACTGCTGACCAGGCAACATAAATAAGTAAAGCAGGCTGAATTTTACTCTTTTAACACAAACACACATCACATATAAAATATGCCCAGCCCCTGCTAGTCTATATGAAGGCTTTGAGCAAATTAGAAAATGATGTCCCCTCTGGGCTCATGCTGCCCCAAGCCAGGGGTAAGTGTGCACTGTATACCAGCCCTGACTTGTGCTGTTTGTGCAGGACACAAATTACACAACCATTAGGCAATCTTGCAAATATGTTCTGTTCCATTTTTCTTCAAACAGATGGCCTTTTCTACCTTTCATTCACAGACAACAGAAGAAGCAGCAGGAAAATAACAGCAGACTTTCAGCCTCAGTGCCAGAATGATAACAGCGAGAGCTGGGGACTGAGGCAAACTGGTAGTGACTTGCTTTGTTGTGCCCTGTGGAACATGGACTTCTTGCTGCTACATTCTATAGTTTTCTAATGATGTAAAAAAATCTGAATTTTTAATGTGAAATCTCCTGTTCTTTGTGGCTTAGTTTTTACTTTTATTTTTTAAAAAACGTGGTTCCATCCTAAGAAAACATACTGGCTGTCTGTTGTTTTCTATCTGCAGCCCTTTTGCAACTTGTCAATCAAACAGTAAACCCCTGGGTGCGACTGTCAGGGAGCATGCTCACAAGACTTCTCAGAGTTTGCGATGCTGCTCAGCAGGAGAGTCTTTTTGGTTTGGAAGTGCATTTGAAGTTGTTTCTTCAGCTCAAAATCAAATAAGTTGGGGAAAAATAAAATACGATAAAGATGCTGCAGAACAAAGTGTTCATAGCAGAGACATAGAGAGCTGAGTGCCTCAGAATTAGTGAAAGGCTCTTCTCTGGTAATAAGTAAAAGGAGTGGCAGGCATTTTGCTGAGTGTATTAAAGCAAAGCAAAACCTCTTGGGAATAAAATGATGAAGACGTTTTTACTTTTTAAAACCTAAACCTCAAATCTGAGATGTCTCAACAATGATTAATAAGGTTCCTCCTATAAAGGGAATGCAATCACTACTCCTTCAATTTTCTGATTCTCAGAATGAGAAGAATGGGAAATTGGCATGTTCTCTTCTCTCTGGATAGGGGTGCAAATATATCTATTGGCCTAGGACTCAAAGACCAGAGTTCTGGAAATGCATTAATGAATTATTTATTGCAATCAACAGAAATCAAATCTGGTTACCTTAACCAAGAAGGGGATAGATTGAAAATATAATAGAGAACACAGAATCCATATGAGGTCAGAGGCGAGGCTTGGAAAATGGCTGGGAAGAAAGGCATTCTCAGCTGGGCAAGGTCGCAAACACCTGTAGTTCCAGCTACTTGGGAGGCTGCAGTTGGAGGACTTCTTGAGCCCAGAAGTTCAAGGCCAATCCAATCTGGCAATCCAATCTGAACAATCTTTCTCATTTTTATTGAAGTATCTAGTAACTTCATATTTAATGTAATTGCTAGTATGTTTGTGATAAAATTTATTATAGTTTAATTTTTGTTTCACTTTTTAATGTTTTTTTCCTACTCTCTTGGTTTCTTTTTAAATATTTTTATAATTCAGTCATGCATTATTTTACAATTTTTATTGATAAATTACACTATGCACCCTGAACTTATTAAAATATTAAATATCTTATAAGTTAATAATTTTGGTACTCCCTGGACAATGCAAAGACCTTAGAATATTTTAGCTACACTTATCCCTTTTCTGCCTTTCATACTATTATTGAGCATATATATGTACATGTGCATATATCTATATATACACATATATATGCTTAAATCCCACTAGACATTATTATCATTATTATACGGAAATCATACTTCTTCTATTGGAAAGTTCTATCTGGGATAATTTGACTTCTGCCTAAAGACTCCCTTGACTATATCGTTTAGTGTAGGTTAGTGGGTGATAAATTATCTCCGTATATTTGAATTATGAATGTGTGTCTGAAAATATATTTATTTCACCTTCATTTTTAAAGATTAATTTTACTAGGCATAGAATTCCAGCTTGGCAGTATTTTCTTTTAGCAACTTGAAGACAGACATTGTCTTTTGCTTCTGTTATTTTTGTGATAAATCAGCTGTCAGTTGATTTGCGATTGCCTATTTGAAGGAATGATGTCTTATTTTTTTCTATGTGCTTTAAAGTGTTTGTCTCCTGTTTTCAGAAGTTTGTGTTTGTTGTGCCTATGTGTGGCTTTCTTTTATTTGTCCTGCTTTGAATACATATAACTTCTTGACTCTGTGATTTGATGTTATTCATCAGTTTGAAAAATTTCTGGGGTCGGGCACAGTGGCTCACACCTGTAATCCCAGCACTTTGGGAGGCCGAGGCAGGTTGATCATGAGGTCAGGAGATCGAGACCATCCTGGCTAACATGGTGAAACCCTGTCTCTACTAAAAATACAAAAAATTAGCCGGGCGTGGTGGCGGGCGACTGTAGTCCCAGCTACTCGGGAGGCTGAGGCAGGAGAATGGCGTGAACCTGGGAGGTGGAGCTTGCAGTGAGCCGAGGTCACACCACTGCACTCCAGCCTGGGAGACAGAGCAAGACTCCATCTCAAAAAAAAAAAAAATTGGTCGTTATTTACTAAGTATCTTTTACAGGTCCATTTCATCTTCCTTACTGACTAGATATGCTCATGATATGTACCATAAGTCATATGACTTTTGTGTTCTTTTCTGCATTTTAAAAATCTACTTATCATACTTTTATCTGATTATTTCTTCTGGTTTGTATTCCAGTTCATTATTTCTCTCTTCTATTGTGTCTAATCTGCTGTTGAACCTATTCGTTGATTGGGTTCACTGAGTCTTTAATTTTAATTATTATAACTTTTAGTTATAAAATTTCAATTTTGTCCTTTGTAGTTTGCATTTCTCTGGCCTATTTTTCATCCTGTTTTTAAACTTCTTGAATGTGCAAATCATAGTTTAAAATCCAATTCTGATCATTTCAGTATCTGGGTCTCCTTTGGGAATGTTTCTATTGTGTAATTTTTTTATCTTCTTGGTTTCTGGTCTATTCTTGTATTTTTGTATGCCAGATCATTTTTAATTGAATGTCCATATTTTGTATAAAACATGTTTTGAGATTCAATATGTTATCTTCAGTTTACTTATGCTTAAGGCAAGCAGTCAGGGTGGACACAGATTACTTTCAAACAATTTGAGACTGAGTTGATTTGAAATTGATCTTTAGCACTTGTGAGAGCTGGTCTATTTCTGATTCACTTGTATTCTAGGGTACAGTATTTGAAGATCTCACCTGAAAGTCTGGGGTGTTTTCTGTGGCCCTATTTCCTTGGTGATTACTGAATATCAATTTTTGCCCCTGCCTCATAGAGATGCCAAAAGTTCTGCTCAGCTTCTCAGGCTCTTATTTGCTATTTTCACTTTTAGAATAATTATAATATTGCCTCAAAGGGAGCAGCAAACATAGGGCTCGTTTTTGGGGGGTTCCCTTCTCTCTTGGATTTTGGCCACTAAGCTTTCACTGCTTTGGTATCTCTAATGCTGGCAAATAAATTTCTTAAAAATATTTTTTCCATTTCTTTGTTCTTTCTCAGTGGGAGGTTGGTCAAAACAAGCTATTCTACCTTTGCCAGAAATAGATGTGCCCAGAATATTTTTAAACTAAACAGAATATAAAACAAATAAAAATATTAGAATGTGTCATGTGTAGTAAGTATTGCTTCATAAAACTTTTGCTTTGGTTATATATTTATATATTTTTGTATTATATATGGGTGCAGATGTAATATATGATGAATAATATGGATCATGATCCAAAAAAAGTTTGAAATGCACTCCTTTAAACCATTCCCAAATGTAGGCTCTGTGCTTTAAATTCAGCATAATATACAAGAAAAGGCAATGGCCCCTCAACTCAAAAGACATGGATTTACACCCTCACACTGTCTTTACTGAGCTGTGTTAAAATAATCAAGACGCTTATGCTCTTTGACCTCAGTTTATCTGAAAATTGAAGAATTTTGATAAAATATTTTATGATGTTCTTGCATCTTTTTTCTGTCAACTTCTCCAATTTAAAACTTGCTTAGGTTCTCTGTTTCTCATTTTCCTTACCTGTAAATAGAAGCAGTGGAAATAATAAAAGTTCATAAGTGTGTTAGGTTATTTGCATTGCTATAAAGAAACACCTGAGGCTGGGTAATTTATAAAGGAAAGAAGTTTGATTGGCTCATGGTTCTGCAGGCTGTACAAGAAGTGTGGTGCTAGCATCACTTCTGGGGAGGACCTCAGAGGCATCCAATCATGGTGGAAGGTGAAGAGGGAGCAGGCATCTCACATGGTGAGAGCAGGAGCATGACAACAAAGGCGGAGGTGCCACACACTTTTAAACAACCAGATAGCACATGAACTCACTGAGTGAGAACTCACTCATCACCAAAAGGATGGTGCTAAACCATTCATGAAGATCTGCTCCCATGATCCAATCACCTCCCACCAGGCCCCACCTCCAACACTGGGGTTTATATTTTAACATGAGATTTGGAGGGGACAAATATGCAAACCATATCAATAAAGAAGTACATTTTCCACATGTTGATGTCTTTGTAGTTGGGATGTGTCTTACAGGTGATGGCATCTTATAAACACCGCCAGCCAGTTGTGACACAGTGGTCACGGCCTGTGCACATGCAAACTTGGTCATAGCTGTTTATATTGTCATCACTCTGGTTGAGTTACATACATTGTTGGTACTACCCATGTTAAAATTAGTTGCCACTTAAAATATCTTCAAAAAGATTACACTATGCTTTAGCATTAAACTTAAAGTTTAAGGCTCAGAAAATGGCAGTAGAATGTAAATTTGATATCAGTGTTTGCCACAAATTGGCTGTATTAATGTAAGGTGAAATAATTTTTCTCAGAATCTTGAACTCTATGAGGTTTCAGGTTAGAACTGACCAAACAAGGTACCTCTACGACATTTAAAAGGTGGAAATGGGGCTGGACGCGGTGGCTCACACCTGTAATCCCAGCACTTTTGAAGGCCAAGGTGGGCAGATCACGAGGTCAGGAGATAGAGACCATTCTGGTCAACGTGGTGAAACCCCATCTCTACTAAAAATACAAAAAATTAGCTGGGCATGGTGGTGGGCGCCTGTAGTCCCAGCTACTCAGGAGGCTGAGGCAGGAGAATGGCATGAACCTGGGAGACGGAGCTTGCAGTGAGCCAAGATTGCACCACTGCCCTCCAGCCTGGGCAACAGAGCGAGACTCCATCTCAAAAAAAAAAAAAAAGAAAAAAGAAAAAGAAAAAGGTGGAAATGAAATGCGCTCAATACAGTCAGGTGGCCCTTGTGGTCAGATGCAGTGAAAGGCAGATGCAGAGGGGCCAGCAGATTCCAGCTCCTTCTTTGTTTTCATGGCTTAATTCCCATCTTTATTTCCCTTTTCTTTTTTTTTAATTCAAGGATCAGTACCCCTTCTTTCTTTATTTTTCCTATTTCAATAGTTTTGGGGGAATAGGTGGTGTCTGGTTGCTTGGAAAATTTCTTTAATGGTGATTTCTGAGATTTTGGTGCACCCATCACCCAAGCAGTGTACACTGTACCCGATGTATTGTTTTATCCCTCACTGCCTTCCCACCCTTCCTTTGAGTCTCCAAAGTCCATTATATCATTCTTATGCCTTTATGTCCTTATAGTTTAGCTTGCACTTATAAGTGAGAACATAATGATGTTTGTTTTTTCATTCCTGAGTTACTTCTCTTAGAATAATGGTCTCCAACTCCATCCAGGTTGCTGTGAATGCCACTATTTCATTCCTTTTTATGGCTGAGTGGCCCATGGTCTATATATAGCACATTTTTCTTATCCACCCATTGGTTGATGGGCATTTAGACTGGTTCTATATTTGTGCAGTTGCTAATTGTGCTGCTATAAACATGTGTGTGCAAGTGTCTTTCATATGATGACTTATTTTCCTCTGGGTAGATACCCAGTAGTGGGATTGCTGGATCAAATAGAGGTTCTACTTTTAGTTCTTTAAGGAATCTCCATACTGTTTTCCACAGTTGTTGTACAAGTTTACACTTCCACAGCAGTGTAGAAGCATTCCCTTTTCCCCACATTCATACCAACATCTGTTATTTTTGATTTTTTAATTATGGCCATTCTTGCAGGAGTAAGGTTGTATCTCATTGTGGTTTTAATTTGCATTTCCCTGATCATTAGTGATGTTGAGCACTTTTTCATACGTTTTTTGGCCATTTGTATATCTTCTTTTGAGAATTGCCCATTCATGTGCTTTGCCTACTTTTTGGATGGGGTTGTTTGTTTTTTTATTGCTGATTCATTTGAGTTCCTTGTAGATTCTGGATATTAGTCCTTTGTGAGATGCATAGTTTGAAAATATTTTCTCCCAGTCTATGGGTTGTCTGTTTACTCTGTTGATCATTTCTTTTGCTGTGCAGAAGCTTTTTAGTTTAATTAAGTCCCATCTATTTATCTTTGTTTTTGTTGCATTTGCTTTTGAGTTATTGGTCATGAACTCTTTGTCTAAGTCAATGTCTAGAAGAGTTTTTCCAATGTTATCTTCTAGAATTTTTATGGTATTGGGTCTTAGATTTAAGTCTTTGACCCATCTTGAATTGATTTTTGTATAAGGTGAGAGATGAGGATCCAGCTTCATTCTTCTACATTTGGCTTGCCAGTTATCCCTACACCATTTGTTGACTAGGGTGTCCTTTCCCCACTTTATGTTTTTATTTGCTTTGTTGAAGATCAGTTGGCTGTGTTTGGCTTTATTCTACGTTCTCTATTCGGTTCCATTGGTCTACATGCCTATCTTTATACTAGTGTCGTGCTGTTTTGGTAATTATAGCATTGTAGTATAGTTTGAAGTCATGAAATGTGATGCCTCTGGATTTTTCCTTTTTGCTTAGTATGGCTTTGGCTATGTGGGCTCTTTTTCGTTCCATATTAATTATAGGATTGTTTTTTTCCACTTCTGTGACAAATGGTGATGGTATTTTGATGGGAATTGCATTGAATTTGTAGATTGCTTTTGGCAGTATGGTCATTTTCACAACACTGATTCTACTCATCCATGAGGATGGGATGTGTTTCCATTTGTTTGTGTTGTCAATGATTTATTTCAACAGTGTTTTGTAGTTTTCCTTGTAGAGATCTTTCACCTCCTTGGTTAGGTATATTGCTAAGTTTTTGTTTTTGTTTTTGTTTTTTTTTTTGCAGCTATTGTGAATGAGGTTGAGTTTTTTATTTGGTTCTCAGCTTGGTCATTGTTGGTGTAATGCAATGCTACTGACTTGTGTACACTGATTTTGTATCCTGAAATTTCACCGAATTCATTTATCAAATCTAGGAGCTTTTTGGATGAGTCTTTAGGGTTTTCTAGGTATATAATCATTTCAGTGGCAAACAGCGACAGTTTGGCTTCCTCTTTACCAATTTAGATGCCTTTTATTTTTTTCTCTTGTCTGATTGCTCTGGCTAGGACTTCCAGTACTATGTTGAATAGAAGTGGTGAAAGTGTCTTGTTCTAGTTCTCAGGGAGAATGCTTTCAACTTTTCCCCATTCAGTGTAATGTTGGCTGCGGGTTTATCATTTATTGCCATTTATCTTGTATTACCTTGAGGTGTGTCTCTTCCAACTATGTGGTCAACTTTGGAATAAGTGTGATGTGGTGCTGAGAAGAATGTATATTCTGTTGATTTGGGGTAGAGAATTCTGTAGATGTCTATTAGGTCCCCTTGGTCCAGAGCTGAGTTTAAGTCCTGAATATCCTTGTTAACTTTCTGTCTCTTTGATCTGTCTAATGTTGACAGTGGGGTGTTAAAGTCTCCCATTACTATTGTGTGGGAGTCCAAGTCTCTTTGTAGGTCTCTAAGGACTTGCTTTATGAATCTGGGTGCTCCTGTATTGGGTGCATATATATTTAGGATAGTTAACTCTTCTTGTTGAATTGATCCCTTTACCATTATGTAATGGCCTTCTTTGTCTCTTTTGGTCTTTGTTGGTTTAAAGTCTGTTTTATCAGAGACTAGGATTGCAACTCCTGCTTTTTTTTTTTGTTTTCCATTTGCCTGGTAGATCTTCCTCCATCCCTTTATTTTGAGCCTATGTGTGTCTCTGCATGTGAGAGGGGTCTCCTGAATACAGCACACTGATGGGTCTTGATTCTTTATCCAATTTGCCAGTCTGTGTCTTTTAACTGGAGCATTTAGCCCATATACATTTAAGATTAATATTGTTATGTGTGAATTTGATCCTGTCATTATGATGTTAGCTGGTTATTTTGCTCATTACTTGATGCAGTTTCTTCCTAGCATCGATGGTCTTTACAATTTGGCATGTTTTTGCAGTGGCTGGTACTGGTTGTTCCTTTCCATGTTTAGTGCTTCCTTCAGGAGCTCTTGTAAGGCAGGTCTGGTAGTGACAAAATCTCTCCACATTTGCTTGTCTCTAAAGGATTTTATTTCTCCTTCATTTATGAAGCTTAGTTTGGCTGGATATGAAATTCTGGGTTGAAAATTCTTTTCTTTAAGAATGTTGAATATTGGCCCCCATTGGGCAGGGGCACCTGCTATCTCTCTGTTGCTCCAGCTCATGAATGCTTGGCTTATCTCCCAGCCCCACTATAACTAGGCTATAATTTTTTCTGTACTCATGGTTTCTCCTGCCACCTTCCCTCACTTTATTTTTAGTTTTTAAAATATACTTTATTTTATAGAGCAGTTTTAGTTTCACAGCAAAATTGAGCAGAAATGACAGAGATTTCTCATACAATCCCTTCCCCTCTCCCAAAACCTGTCTGCAGGTTTTGTGTGAAGTCTTTTTGCATCTTGGTAGCTTATTTCCTTTTAGCACTGAATAATATTTCACTGTATGGATGGGCCACAGTTTATCAATTTACCTATTGAAGGATTTCTTGGTTGCCTCCAAATTTGGGCAATTATGAAAAAAGCTGCCATAAAAATCTGTAAACCAAAAATAAAATTCTAAGCTCCCCAATCAACTGAATGGACTCCTTCCTGGCCAAGGGATCCCAAAGAAATCTGAAAAGCTTATTGAAATAATGACTGAAAGTGGAAAGTCAGACATAACTCATTATACCCTCTTCCCTTTGGAGTTTTACACAAAACTGACCAGCATTAACATTAAGATAGAAATAAGACTGACAAAACAGACTCTTTGTAGCAATGAGATACCTAGTTCCAACCTGACTCTGCTATAGCATCACATGGCAGATAGTAGGCTCTGAAGAAAATCAAAGTATTTTATCCTAAAAATGTATTTTCTTTGACATATTTTGAGATGGACCTGCAAAACCATCTCTTGTGTGGGAATTTGCATTCTGCAGAGAATCTCCTTCCCTTACTAGGTCTTTTCTGAAGAGTCTGACACCTTTTAAGATCCAGTGAGGAGGCTGGCAAGATGGCTGAATAGGAACAGCTCTGGTTGCAGCTCCCAGTGAGATCAATGCAGATGGCAGGTGATTTCTGCATTTCCAACTGAGGAACCTAGTTCATCTCATTGGGACTCGTTGGACAGTGGGTGCAGCCCACAGAGGGTGAGCCGAAGCAGGGTGGGGTGTTGCCTCACCCAGGAAGTACAAGGGGTCAGGGGATCTCCTGCCCCCAGCCAAGGGAAGCCATGAGATCCTGTACTGGGAGGAATGGTGCACTCCGGCCCAGATACTGCACTTTTCCCACAGTCTTCGCAACCTGCAGACCAGGAGATTCCTTCCAGTGCCTATGCCACCAGGGCCCTGGGTTTTAAGCACAAAACTGGGGGCCATTGGGCAGACACCGAGGTAGCTGCAGGAGTTTTTTTTTTCATACCCCTGTGGCACCTGGAACACCAGTGAGACAGAACCATTCACTCCCCTGGAAAGGGGGCTGAAGCCAGGGAGCCAAGTGGTCTGGCTTGGTGGGTCCCACCCACATGGAGCCCAGCAAGCTAAATTCCACTGGCTTGAAATTCTTGCTGGTAACACAGCAGACTGAGGCGGACCTGGGACGTGCAAGCTTGGCTGGGGGAGGGGGTCCACCATTGCTGAGTAGGCAACGATGTAGGCGGTTTTACACTCACAGTGTAAACAAAGCGGCCAGGAAGTTCAAACTGGACAGAGCCCACCACAGCTCAGCAAGGCCGCTGTGGCCAGACTCCCTCTCTAGATTCCTCCTCTCTGGGAAGGGTATCTCTGAAAAAAATGGCAGCAGCCCCAGTCAGGAACTTATAGAAAAAATCCCCATCTCCCTGGGACAGAGCACCTGGGGTAAAGGGTGGCTGTAGGAGCAGCTTCAGCAGATTTAAATGTCCCTGCCTGACAGCTCTGAAGAGAGCAGCAGATCTAGCAGCACAGCGTTCAAACTCTGATAAGGGACAGACTGTCTCCTCAAGTGGGTCCCTGACCCCTGTGTTTCCTGACTGGGAGACACCTCCCAGTAGGGACCCACAGACACCTCATACAGGAGAGCTCTGGCTGGCACCTGGCGGGTGCCCCTCTGGGATGAAGCTTCCAGAGGAAGGAACAGGCAGCAATCTTTGCTGTTCTGCAGCCTCTGCTGGTGATACCCAGGCAAACAGGGTCTGGAGTGGACCTCCAGAAAACTCCAGCAGACCTGCAGCAGAGTGGTCTGACTGTTAGAAGGAAAACTAACAAACAGAAAGGAATAGCATCAACATCAACAAGAAGGATGTCCACACCAAACCCCATCCGAAGGTGACCAACATCAAAGACCAAAGGTAGATAAACCCATGAAGATGGGGAGAAACCAGTGGAAAAAGATTGAAAAATCCAAAAACCAGAATGCCTCTTCTCCTCCAAAAGATCAAAAGTACTTGTCAGCAAGGGAACAAAACTGAATAAACAATGGGTTTGATGAATTGACACATATAGTCTTTAGAAGGTGGGTAAAACCAAACTCTTCTGAGCTAAAGCAGCATGTTCTAACCCAATGCAAGGAAGCTAAGAACCTTGAAAAAGGTTAGACAAATTCCTAACAAGAATAACCAGTTTAGAGAAAAACATAAATGACCCGATGGAGCTGAAAAACACAGCACGAGAACTTCGTGAAGCATACACAAGTATCAATAGCCGAATCAATCAAGTGGAAGAAAGGATATCACAGATTGAAGATCAACTCAATAAAATAAAGTGAGAAGACAAGATTAGAGAAAAAAGTGTGAAAAGAGACGAACAAAGCCTCCAAGAAATATGGGACTATGTGAAAAGAACAAACCTACGTTTGATTGGTGTAAGTGATGGGGAGAATGGACCCAAGTTGGAAAACACTCTTCAGGATATTATCCAGGAGGACTTCCCCAGCCTAGTTAAGGCAGGCCAACATTCAAATTCAGGAAATACAGAGAACATCACAAAGATACTCCTTGAGAAGAGCAACTCCAAGACACATAATTGTCAGATTCACCAAAGTTGAAATGAAGGAAAAAATCTTAAGGGCAGCCAGAGAGAAAGGTCAGGTTACCCACAAAGGGAAGCCCATCAGACTAACAGCGGATCTCTCAGCAGAAACCCTGGAAGCCAGAAGAGAGTGGGGACAAACATTCAACATTCTTAAAGAAAAGAATTTTCAACCCAGAATTTCATTTCCAGCCAAATGAAGCTTCATAAGCGAAGGAGAAATAAAATCCTTTACAGACAAGCAAATGCTGAGAGATTTTGTCAACACCAGGCCTGCCTTACAAGAGCTCCTGAAGGAAGCACTAAACATGGAAAGGAAAAACAGGTACCAGGCACTGCAAAAACATACCAAACTGTAAAGACCATTGATAATAGGAAGAAACTGCATCTACTATCAGGCAAAATAACCAGCTAGCATCATAATGACAGGATCAAATTCACACATAATAATATTAACCTTAAATGTAAATGGGTTAAACACCCCAATTAAAAGACACAGACTGGCAAATTGGATAAAGAATCAAGACCCATTGGTGTGCTGTATTCAGGAGACCCATCTCATGTGCAAAGACACACGTCGGCTCAAAATAAAGGGATAGAGGAATATTTACCAAGCAGATGGAAAGCAAAAAAAAAGCAGGGATTGCAATCCAAGTGTCTGACAAAACAGACTTAAACAAACAAAGATCAAAAGAGACAAAGAAGGCCATTACATAATGGTAAAGGGATCAATGCAACAAGAAGAGCTAACTATCCTAAATATATATGCACCCAATACAGGAGCACCCAGATTCATAAAGCAAGTTCTTAGAGACCTACAAAGAGACTTAGACTCCAACGCAATAATTGTGGAAGACTTTAATATCCCACTGTCAATATTAGACAGATCAACGAGACAGAAAATTAACAAGGATATTCAGGACTTGAACTCGGCTCTGGACCAAGCCTACCCAATAGACATCTACAGAACTCTCCACCCCAAATCATCAGAATATACATTCTTCTCAGCACCACATTGCACTTATTCTAAAATTGACCACATACTTGGAAGTAAAACACTTGTCAGGAAATCCAAAAGAATGGAAATCATAACAAACAGTCTCTCAGACCACAGTGCAATCAAATTAGAACTCAGGATTAAGAATCTCACTCAAAACTGCACAACTACATGGAAACTGAACAACCTGCTCCTAAATGACTATGGGGTAAATAACAAAATGAAGGCAGAAATAAAAATGTTCTTTGAAACTAATGAGAAAAAAGATACAACATACCAGAATCTCTGGGACACATTTAAAGGAGTGTGTAGAGCGAAATTTATAGCACTAAATGCCCACAAGAGAAAGCTGGAAAGATCTAAAATCAACACCCTAACATCACACTTAAAAAAACTAGAGAAGCAAGAGCAAACAAATTCAAAAGCCAGCAGAAGACAATAAATAACTAACATCAGAGCGAAACTGAAGGAGACAGAACCACGAAAAACCCTACAAAAAAATCAATCAATTTAGGAGCTGGTTTTTTGAAAAGATTAGCAAAATAGATAGACCACTAGCCAGACTAATAAAGAAGAAAATAGAGAAGAATCAAATAGACACAATAAAAAATGATAAAGAGGATATCACCCCCATCCCACAGAAATACAAACTACCATCAGAGAATACTATAAACACCTCTATGCAAGTAAGCTAGAAAATCTAGAAGAAATGGATAAATTCCTGGACGCATACACACTCCCAAGTCTAAACCAGGAAGAAGTTGAATCCCTGAATAGATCAATAACAAGCTCTGAAATTGAGGCAGTAATTAATAGCCTACCAACCAAAAAAAAAAAAAAAAAATCCAAGACGAGACGGATTCACAGTCGAATTCTACCGGAGATACAAAGAGGAGCTGGTACTATTCCTTCTGAAATGATTCCAAACAATAGAAAAAGAGGGAATCCTCCCTAACTCATTTTATGAGGCCAGCATCATCCTGATACCAAAACCTGGCAGAGACAAAACAAAAAAAGAGGCCAATATCCCTGATGAACATAAATGCTAAAATCTTCAATAAAATACTGGCAAACTGAATCCAGCAGCACATCAAAAAACTTATCCACCATGATCAAGTCAGCTTCATCCCTGGGATGCAAGACTAGTTCAACATACACAAACCAATAAATGTAATCCATCACATAAACGGAACCAATCACAAAAACCACATGATTATCTCAATAGATGCAGAAAAGGC
This sequence comes from Homo sapiens, assembly GCF_000001405.40. Lineage (NCBI taxonomy): Eukaryota > Metazoa > Chordata > Mammalia > Primates > Hominidae > Homo > Homo sapiens. The sequence continues at coordinate 230,523,493 of NC_000001.11, read as the reverse complement.
CTTTGTCAAAATTCAACAGCCCTTCATACAAGAACTCTGAAAAAACTAGGTATTGATGGAACATATCTCAAAATAATAAGAACTGTTTGTGACAAACCCACAGCCAATATCATACTGAATGGGCAAAAGCTGGAAGCATTCCTCTGGAAAACTGGCACAAGACAAGGATGCCCTCTCACACCACTGCTATTCGACATAGTATTGGAAGTTCTGGCCAGGGCAATCAGACAAGATAAAGAAATAAAGGGTATTCAATTAGGAAAAGAGGAAGTCAAATTGTCTCTGTTTGCAGATGACACGATTGTATATTTAGAAAACCCCATAGTCTCAGCCCAAAATCTCCTTAAGCTGATAAGCAACTTCAGCAAAGTCTCAGGATACAAAATCAATATGCAAAACTCACAAGCATTCCTATACACCAATAACAGACAAACAGAGAACCAAATCATGAGTGAACTCCCATTCACAATTGCTACAAAGAAAATAAAATACCTAGGAATACAACTTACAAGGGATGTGAAGGATCTCTTCAAGGAGAACTACAAACCACTGCTCAAGAAAATAAGATAGGACACAAACAAATGGAAAAACATTCCATGCTCATGGATAGGAAGAATCAATATTGTGAAAAAGGCCATAGTGCCCAAAGTAATTTATAGATTCAATGCTATCCCCATCAATCTACCATTGATTTTCTTCACAGAATTGGGAAAAAAACTATTTTAAAGTTCATATGGAACCAAAAAACAGCCCATATAGCCAAGACAATCCTAAGCAAAAAGGACGAAGCTGGAGGCATCACGCTACCTGACTTCAAACTATAGTATATAGTATAGACTTCAAACCGAAACAGCATGGTACTGGTACCAAAACAGATATACACCAAAACAGACCAATGGAATAGAACAGAGGCCTCAGAAATAACACCACACATCTACAACCATCTGATCTTTGACAAACCTGACAAAAACAAGCAATCGGTAAAGAATTCTTTATTTAATAAAACTGACAAAAACAAGCAACCGGTAAAGAATTCTTTATTTAATAAATGGTGTTGGGAAAACTGGCTAGCCATTTGCAGAAAGCTGAAACTGGATCCCTTCCTTACACCTTATAAAAAAATTAACTCAAAATGAAATAAAGACTTAAATGTAAGACCTAAAACCATAAAAACCCTAGAAGAAAACCTAGGCAATACCATTCAGGACATAGGCATGGGTAAAGACTTCATGACTAAAACACCAAAGACTTCATGACTAAAAAAGCAATGGCAACAAAAGCCAAAATTGACAAATGGGATCTAATTTAACTAAAGAGCTTCTGAACAGCAAAAGAAACTATCACCAGAGTGAACAGGCAACCTACAGAATGGGAGAAAATTTTTGCAATCTATTCACCTGACAAAGGGCTAATAACCAGAATCTACAAAGAACTTAAACGAATTTACAAGAAAAAAACAAACAACCCCGTCAAAAAGTGGGCAAAGGATATGAACAGACACTTCTCAAAAGAAGACATTTATGCAGCCGAGAAACATATGAAAAAAAGCTCATCATCACTGGTCATTAGAGAAATGCAAGTCAAAACCACAATGAGATACCATCTCATGCCAGTTAGAATGACGATCATTAAAAAGTCAGGAAACAACAGGTGCTGGAGAGGATTTGGAGAAATAGGATGCTTTTACACTCTTGGTGGGAGTGTAAATTTGTTCAACCATTGTAGAAGATAGTGTGGCGATTCCTCAAGAATCTAGAACTAGAAATACCATTTGACTCAGCTATCCCATACTGGGTATATAGCCAAAGATTATAAATTATTCTACTAAATTATTCTACTATAAAGACACATGCACACATATGTTTATTGTGGCACTATTCACGATGGCAAAGACTTGGAACCAACCCAAATGCCCATCAGTGATAGACTGGATAAAGAAAATGTAGCACATATACACCAAGGAATTCTATGCAGCCATAAAAAAGGATGAGTTCATGTCCTTTGCAGGGATATGGATGAAGCTGGAGACCGTCATTCTCAGCAAACTAACACAGGAACAGAAAACCAAACACCGCCTGTTGTCACTCATAAGTGGGAGTTGAACAATGAGAACATATGGAAAATGGTGGGGGGGCATCATATACTGGGGCCTGTCGGGGGGTGGGGGGCTGGGGAGGGATAGCATTGGGAGAAATACCTAATGTAGATGATGGGTTGATGTGTGCAGCAAACCACCATGGCATGTGTATACCTATGTAACAAACTTGCATGTTCTGCACATGTACCCCAGAACTTAAAGTATAAAAAACAAAGATCCAATGAGACATTTTCCATCTATTCTATCTGAAGCCTGCTACCTGGAGGCTTCATCTACATAACAAGAACCTTGGCTTCCACAACCTCCCTTAGTGTAACTTAAGCATTTCTTTATGCTAACTTCAACTCTTCAGACAAAGCTTAACTCTTTCAATTAATTAGCAATCAGAAAATCTTTATATCCTCCCTATGATCTGGAAGCCCCTGCTTTGAGATGTCCCACCTTTCTTGGCTGAAGTATACCTTACATGTACATAATATATTGTGTATTTGCCTGTAACTTCTGTCTCCCTAAAATGTATAAAACCAAACTGTAATTCAACCATCTTGGGCACATATTCTCAGGATCTCCTGAGGCTGTGTCATGGGCCATGGTCTTCATATTTGGCTCAGAATAAGCCTTTTCAAATATTTTACAAAGTTTGGCTTTTTTCATCAACGCATCTGTGTGCAGGTTTTTGTGGGGCATAAGTTTTCCACTCATTTAGGTAAACACCAAGGAGCTAACTGCTGGATCCTATTGTAAGAACACACTGAATTTTGTGGAGTTCCCATTGCTCCACATCCTGTAATCACCCAACGAGTTCTTCCTGTCTTCTGCACAGACAAAATCAATTCACTGAGACCATACTCTTGCAGTAAAGAGTTTAATTGACACGAGGCTGGCCACACAACGCAAGAGACGGAGTTATTGTTCAAATCAATCACCTCAAAAATTTGGAGGCTGAGGTTTTTCAAAGATAGTTTGATGGGCAGGGAAGTAGGGTATGGGTGCTGCTGAATCGTTGGGGATACAATCATAGGGTTGTGAAAAATGGTCCTTAAGTATTGAGTTCACTTTTGGGTGAGGCCCACAGAGGAGTCACTGGTCTCGGTGGGGCCATCCAGTCATCAGAAATGCAAATGTCTGCAAAGACATCTCAAAAGGCCAATCCTAGGTTCTACAATAGTGATGTTATGTACAGGGGTAATTGGGGAAGTTGCAAATCTTCTGACCTCTGGAATAATAGCTAGTAATTTTTAACCTATGCCTACGTCTTAGTAGAATTCAGGCCCCTCTCATCCTCCTAACCTAGTGGTCTTTCATTAGTTTTACAAGGGCAGTTTAGTTTTGGGGAAGGGCTATTATCATTTAAACTATAAACAAAATTTGTCCCAAGGTTAGTTTGGCCCACACTCAGCAAAGAGCAAGGATAGCTTGAAGGTTAGAAGCAAGATGGAGTCAATTATGTTAGATTTCTCTCACTGTCATAATTTTGCAAGGGCAGTTTCAGTCCTCACCAGCATTTGGTATTGTCAGCGTTTTGGACTGGGCACCAATTCAAAACATGTAACTGCTTTTAGAAAGTCTTCCCATTTCTTGAACTCTTACAGAAGAAACGCATACAGACATGTCAAAAATTGTCTTGTGTATTCGATGTGGAGGTGTCACAGGGCAAACCCCAAAATTGGGGTTCAGCCTGAGAGGCTATCTTGGTTCTTGGCTTCACACAGGAATTCAAGAGTGAGCCAACAGAGTAAAGTAAAAAAAAGTTGATTAAGAAGGTAAAGGAATACAAGTGTGGTCACCCCATAGGCAGAGCAGCCTCGCAGGCCACTGGTTGGCTATTTTTATGGTTATTTCTTGATCATATGCTAAACAAGAGGTACATTATTCATGAGTTTTCCAGGACAAGGGTGGGAAATTCCTCAGAACTGAGGGGTCCTCCCATTTTCAGACCATATAGGGTAACTTCCTATGTTGCCATGCCATTTGTTAACTGTCATGAGCTGAGCAGGTGGAACTTTTACTATGCTAATGTATTATAATTAGCATGTAATGAGCAGTGAGGATGACCAGAGGTTGCTTTCATTGCCATCTTGGATTCGGCAGTTTTGGCAGCTTTTTTTTTTTTTTTTTTTGAGATGGAGTCTCACTCTCTTGCCAGGCTGGAGTGCAGTGGCGCAATCTCAGCTCACTGCAACCTCCGCCTCCCGGGTTCAAGTGATTCTCCTCCCTCAGCCTCCCCAGTAGCTGCGACTACGGGCACCCGCCACCGTGCCCGGCTAATTTTTGTATTTTTAGTAGAGACAGGGTTTCACCATTTTGGCCAGGATGGTCTCAATCTCTTGACCTCATGATCTGCCCGCCTCGGTCTCCCAAAGTGCTGGGATTACAGGCGTGAGCCACCGTACCCGGCCTTGGCAGCTTCTTTACAGCATCATGTTTTATCCACGGGGTCTTTGTGACCTATATCTTGTGAAACCAGACGCTGAACTCCTATCTCAGAGGTATAGGTTATCCTGAGGTTGTAGGAGTACAGAGGAGAGTAACACACTTTGTAAGGATTAACTTGGATGTAGAAATTCCTAACTTCACAGGAATTTTGACCTAACCTAAAGCCAGCTCTCTTGTAGAAAACAAAGGCAGTGATTACGCATTCTTAAAACTCAAGTGGCTGAGCCCGGGGTGGGGCTTTTCTTCATACAGAAGCCACTGCTACTTATTAACACAACGTGCTGATAGAGGGACCTCGGGGGCACCTGTCAGCTGAGGGCCTGAACTCTTACACAAAACCTCCCACAGAGCCACAAATTCACTCAAACACCTGAGGTTGTTTGTCACAATACATATTAGAACTAAACCATCAAAAGGAGGAAGGATACGCCTTTCCCCTTGCTTCTGGCTACTCTTTCCTTACTGATCCAAGATGTCAACCACATCTAGTGTGAGTCTCCTGCTTACCCTTTTCACTGGCTGTTCTTAAAGGGACCTGAAATTAGGATAAAGATTCTATTAGTTGAAGCCAGGTGCAGTGGCTTGTACCTACAGCCCCAGCTCCATGGGAGGCTTCAGTAGGAGGATCTCTTGAGCCCAAATGTTTGAGGCCAGCATGGGCGAAAAAAGAAAAGAGAAAAGATTCTATTCATTGATTCAATTTGTCAAAAGAGTTTTGATGGTGAGGAAGATGAATCTGTTTTGTTTCCGTTTTTTGAATTGAGTCGTATTGCATGAAGCATCTTTTGTTTCTCTCAAGCCTGTTTGGCAATTGCCCCACCCCCATCTGCTCTGCGCTGCCAGGGAGAAGTGTTTTTCCTGCCATTTCAGGATGGTTCTCTTTCCCCTCCAGATGCCCCCAGGGAGCCTGCCAGGCCTGCATCTGTTCAGAGCTGCCACTCAATTTGGCACAGCTCAGCCAGCTTAGTCCAGGCAGCTGGCAGTCAGCTGAGAGAGGAGGGGGTGAGGTGCAGGTTGGAGGAGGCCTCCAAACCAAGGTGGGAGAGGAGGGCCTGGGAATGTCAGTTGTGAGCACCTGTTCCTGCCTGAGTCACCAATTACACACAGCACTTACATTCCGCAGGTGTGCCAAGCTCCTGCTCCCTGCAAAGCACATTTTAGGTCTGGTAAGAAAAGATGAAACACATGCATGCACACACACTGTATCAATGTGCCAAGGCGACCATCACAAAGTCCGGCCCGCTGGGTGGCTTAAATCACAAGAATTGACTCTCACGTTCTGGAGGCTGGAAGTCTGAGGTCCGGGTGTCGGCAGGATCGGCTTCCTCTGAGTCCTCTGTGCTTGTCTGGTAGATGGTCAGCTTCTCCCTGCATCCTCACACTGTCTTCCCTCTGTGTGTGTCTGTGTCCACAGTTCATCTTATAAGAATACCAGTCATGTTGGATGAGGGCCTATCCTAATGACCTCATTTTAATTTAATTACCACTTGAAGGACCTTATCTGTGAATACAGTCACATTCTCCGGTACTAGGAGTTAGGACTTCAACATATTAATTTTGTTCAGCCCATCACACACACACACATGCTCACACACATACACATTCACTTACACACACACACACACACAACACACACACACCTTCTTTCCTCCGGGATTTTGATATTGCTGACCCCATGGGGAAAAAAGCAATTTCCAACCTCTAGCTTCTCCACAGCATTACTTTAGATTATAGCCAGGGGGTTGCAAAATTGCTCCTGACCTCAGTTAAACTCAGGACCTGGCTCTGGTTCTTGAGGGGCTATTTTTATGTTTTCTGCCGTTGTGATTCTAAGGTCCCGAAGAACAGGGCTGTGAGCTGTGCCGCCTGGGTCTGGTGCAGTATCTCTCACAGAGAGGCCCGGGCTGCCTGCCTCAGGATTGCAATGGATGCGTGTCAAAAATGTATTCTTGTGAATGTTCCCAATATAAAGAGAAGTGTTTGCGGTAATGAATATCCCAATTGCCCTGATTTGATCATTACACATTGTATGCAGGTATCCAAAAAGTCACATGTACCCCCAAAATATGTACAACTATTATGTATTGATAAAAGAAACTTCCATCACCTAGAGATAACCAGTATTAACACTTTGAAAGAAAAAAAATGCATTCTTTTGACAGCATTAAAAGTGAGTGAAATGCTACCATACTTAACAATGTGGTGAATCCACCAGCATAACATTGAGCAAAAGAAGCCATCACAAATTATACGTTTGGTGCGATCCCACTTTTAGTTGATATTTCAAAACAAGGCACAATTAATCTGTAATGCTGGAAGGGTATGGACATGACTGGGAGGAGGGTAATTGTCTATTTGGATGGTGGTTACATGAATATTTCTCAAACCATATACTTTGACTTCTGCAATTTTCTGTGAGCATGTTATTCTGAACTTTAAAAGTGTATATAGGAAAATGTCCCCAGCATTTTCCCTTAGGTTTTCCAAGCCACCATTTCTCTGACTTTGAATTCTACTATTATGAAGCCATGGGGCAATTCTCTTTCCCTTTAGTAAATTGAGATCTCCTGAAATTTTCTGAAAGAATTTTACCAAGGACTACGGCATGCCAAACAAATACCAAAAAAGAACATTTTAAAAGGAAAAAAAAAATGGCTTATTTAGAACACTGGCTTTTAACACACTTTGAAAGTCTTCTGCCCCTTTCATTTAACCAGCTATGAGAGGGAAGGAAGGGGGAAGGCAGAAGGGAATTGTTCTGTAAACGGGAAGATTCCTCTGTCCTCATACACATTTCCCATCTTAAAGTAGGGCTCTTCAAACAAAGCACACTTGCATGCATACCTCGTCGAATATGTGCTGGATTGCAGGGACTGATTCACTTCAGAGGAGCACTCCTCTTTCTTGTTCGTCTCTGAAATTCCTGGTTTTCTTTAAGCTTAGTGAGATCCTGCATTTTGCAGGCCCCTTGTGGAGCACAGGGCTAAGGGTGCATTCAGTGGGAACAGCTCAGCCTGGTCTGCTGAAGGCAGCAGGTGCTGCGGCAGGACAGAGTCCAGGGAGGAGGTGTCACCTGAGCACACAGCTCCTTCCTTTCTGAGTTCTTCCCCCAGGGAGTGCAGCCCAGACCAAGCTGGGATTCCGGATTATTTTGGCCACAGGGGTGAGATGGTCAAATGTGACAGATTTCTGCGTCCCCCAAATAACCTGTGCGCATCACCCAAAGCAGCTAGTCATCTTGAGAAAATGTCATGAGTTCTGTGTAACTGAGCTGAATGAATTTGCAAAGAGGATGCATCCGCACATACAAACCTGCTGTCCTCCCCTGAGCAGAGTGATACTGAGAGGGATACTAAAAATAGCTAAAGAATTGTTTTGTTTTAGAAATAGGGTCTCGCTGTGTTTCTCAGTCTGGAGTGATCATAGCACACTACAGCTTCAAACTCCAGGGCTCAAGCCATCCTCCTGCCTTAGCCTCCCAACTAGCTGGGACTACAGGTGCACCATCACACCCCACTATTTTTTGTAAACTTTCATCCAACTAAAACACAAAAGTTCACTCTTTGCTTATTAAACTGCATCAGAATCTCCTTATGCCTCAGCAGCAGCATCAGAACATCCTATATCCAGTTTTTTAAACTATGTCTTCTTTTTAAAAACATTTATTGAATTTTAATACACATATAGAAATTTGCATAGAGCATAATAAGTATACAGCCTGATACATTTTATCAACAGAGTTGCCTGTGTAACTAGCACCTACATCAAGAAGCAGAAGTTCACATGGGTGCCCCCCAGCCCACAGTCCCCGGCACCTTTCCCAGCAAGGGTGGCCTCTCTTGATCCTGCCTTCTAACCTCCTGGGTTAGTCTCACCCACTTTTGTTCTTTATATGCCTCTTGTGTGTGGCTTCTTGGCTCAAAAATATGTTTGTGAGGGTCAACCCTGTTGTCTGTGGATGCAGTTTGTTGTCCTTGATGCTGGGTAGTGCATTGTGGGACTGCACCACAGATGGCTTATCTATTCTATTGTTGATGCCCATTTAAGAGGTTTTCACGTCTGCCCCATATGAACAATGTTGCTTTGAACATTCTTTTACATGCATTTTGGTGCATATTTATATGCATTTCTGTTGGGTCTGTACTTATTAATGGAACTTCTGGGTCAGAGGGATGCATAAATTCAGCTTTAGTAACCTGTTGTATTAGTCTATATTCTGTTGCTTATGTAAGAATACATGAAACTGGATAATGTATAAAAAAAAGGAATTTATTTCTGGCAGTTGTGGAGGCTAAGAACTTCAAGTCAAGGGGCTGTAATTGGTGAGGGCTTTCTTGTTGATGGAGACTGTGCAGAGTCCTGAGGTAGCAGAGGGCATCACATGGCAAGGGGACTCAGCATACTAACTCAGGTTTCTTTTCCTCTTCTTATAAAGCCACCAGTCCCACTCCCATGATAACCCATTAATCCACTAACCCATTAACTCATGAAAGCCCTCATGATCCTATCATCTCTTAAAGACCCCACCTCCCAACATTGCCACATTGGGGATCAAGTTTCAACCTAAGTTTTGGAGGGGACATTCAAACCATAGCACCAGTGTTCCAAAGTGGTGGTACCAAGGGACACCCCACCCAGCAGTGTATGAGCATCTGGTGTTCCACACCCTTGCCAATGCTTCCTGTTTTCTGTCTCTCTCAATTCAGCCAGAGACAGCTCATTTTTAATGATCACTTACTGCATGTTAGGAACTAAGCATTCACATACATTGTCTCATTTAATTTTGCAGCAATCCTATGAAGTCATACTAATTTTCACAGAGGTAGAAGGTTCCTCAAATCACTAAACTGCGTGGCCTACATTGGAACCCACACTGGCCGGTCTCCAAGCCGTTGCTGTCTTCTACTACACTGGTTTTGTCTTGGGTGCATGATATGGTTTGGCTCTGTGTCCCCACCCAAATCTCATATTGAATTGTAATCCCCATATGTCAGAGGAAGAACCTGGTGGGAGGTGATTAGATCATGGGGGCGGATTTCCCCCATGCTGTTCTTGTGATAGTGAGTTCTCACGTGATCTAGTTGTTTAAAAATGTGTGGTACCTCCCCCTTCACTTGCTCTCTCTCCCTCTCTCCTGCCACCATGTAAGACATGCCTTGCTTCCCCTTCACCTTGCACCATGACTGTGAGTTTCTTGAGGCTTCATAGCCCTGTGAAACTGTGAGTCAATTAAACCTCTTTTCTTTTATTTTCTTTTTTTTTTCTTTGAGACAGAGTCTTACTCTGTCACCCAGGCTGGAGTGCAGTGGTGCGGTCTCGGCTCACTGCAACCTCCACCTCCTGGGTTCAAGTGATTCTCATCCCTCAGCCTCCCGAGTAGCTGGGACTGCAGGTGTGCACCACCATGCCCAGCTAATTTTTGTGTTTTTAATAGAGCTGGGGTTTCACTATGTTGGCCAGCCTGGTCTCGAACTCTTGGCCTTAAGTGATCCACCTGCCTTGGCCTTCAAAAGTGTGGGGATTACAGGAATGAGCCACCATGCCCAGCCTAAACCTCTTTTCTTTATAAATTACCCAGTCTTAGGTAGTTCTTTATAGCAATGTGAGAACGGACTAATACAGTGCATGTAAGGCCAGTGCTAGTGCCTGTGGCTAGGAGCATTTTCTTCAGGAGCCTTGTTTCTAAATCCACACCGGCAGTCACTGTACTTGTGCCTGATTTTCTGTTCAAGGTTTTACTGCCTTTCATGTAACCTGTGTTCAAGCACCTTAACCCTGTAAGAAAATGGGCACAGAGAGGGTCAGCCAGATGCATAAATGGAGAGCGGTCCCCAGACTCCTTCCTGTGGCTCAGTGACACCTCCTCCTTCTGAGGACAGCAAAGAGCTGGGAATCTCACACTGGCAGGACTGGATGTGACATGCCCTGATGCTGCTATTGTAGTGTAAGGAAACTCAGATGCAGTTTAACAAGCAAAGAGTGAGCTTTGGTGTTTTACCCGGTTGAAAATAGATCTGTATCAGCCATAAAAAAGAATGAAATCCTTTCCTTTGCAGCAACATAGATGGAGCTGGAGGTCATTATCCTTAGTGAATTAACTCAGAGACAGAAAATCAAATGCTGCATGTTCTCATTTATAAGTGGGAGCTAAACAATGGATACACACGGCATAAAGATGGAAACAATAGACACTGGAGTCTCCAAAAGAGGGGAGGGTGGGAAGGGGATGAGGGTTAAAAAATAATCTATCCGGTACAGTGTTCACTATTTGAGTAATGGGCACACTAGAAACCCACTCCCCACTGGTATATCCACATACCAAACATGCACATATACCCCCAAATCTAAAATAACATTTAAAAAACACAAAAGATAAGAAATGTTGGCAAGGATGTGGAGGAAAGGGAACCCCATACACTGTTAGGGGGAATGTGAATTGGTGCAGCTGCTATCGAAAACAATATGGAGGTTTTTTTAAAAAAATCAAAACTAGAACTACAATACAATGCAGCAATCTCATATCTGGGTATATATCCAAAGGAACTGAAATTAGAGTTTCATGGCCAGGAATAATGGCTCATGCCTCTAATCCCAGCACTTTGGGTGGCTGAGGCGGGCAGCTCACCTGAGGTCAGGTGTTTGAGACCATCCTAGCCAGCATGGTGAAACCTCGCCTCTACTAAAAATACAAAAAATTAGCTGGGCCTGGTGGTGGGTGCCTGCAATCCCAGCTCTCAGGAGGCTGAGGCAGGAGAATCACTTGAACCCAGGAGGTGGAGGTTGCAGTGAGCCGAGATCATGCCATTGCACTCCAGCTTGGACAACAAGAGCGGAACTCCATCTCAAAAAAAAAAATTAGTATCTCAGAGACAACTACATTTTCCTGTTCATTGCACATTATTCACAATAGCCAGCCCACAGAAGCAACCTAAATGTCCACCCGTGAGTGAACTGATAAAGAAAATGTGGTACTGTATATATAATATAGAATATTATTCAGTCTTAGAAAAATAAGAAAGTCCTGCCATTGGTGACAATATTGATGAACTTGGAGGACATCATGCCAAGTAAAATAAACCAGTCACAGTGGGACAAACACTATGTGATCCCAACTTATGATGAATCTAAAATAGTCAAACTCATGGAAGGGAAGAGTGGAATGGTGGTTGCCAGGGGCTGAGGCAAGAAGAAACGCAGAGCATTAGCTAAAGGGCACAGCGCTTTGGTTATACAAGATGAATAAGCCCCGGACATCTACTGTGCAGCACCATGCCTATGGTAAACAACACTGTATTTTATACTTAAAGAAAAATTGCTAAGAGAGTGTATCTTATGTGTTCTTATCACAAAATAATAATAATGATAATAATAATTAGAGAGAATGGGAAGAAACTTTTGGAGTTGATGGATAGATTTATGGCATAAACTATGGTGACGTTTGCATGGGTTTATACTTGTCTCAAAACTCACTAAGTTGTATACATTAAATATATACAACTTTGTAGGTGAGTCATTCCTCAATAAAGTGCTCTTTTAAAAACTGAAGAAAATAGATCTACAGGGATTGGATTATAAAAGTGCTATCTATAAATTGTACATCTTGAGACTAAATGAAAACAAAAAGGCACAAAGAAGGTGTAAGCCAACTACAATCCTGCCCCAAAGAGACAGCTTCTTTAAAAGATATAATTTGGTATATTCTTCCAGATATTTTTCTATTTTTCTAAATGTAAATGCATGTGTATGTGTCTATGTATGCTATTGAGAGACCAAAACAGACACTCCTTTATCAACTAAGGGGAACTCTAATGTTAAGGAAACAAAAGTTACCTATGGGACAAGGGTTCAGGGCCACCTGGCACAGCAACTCCCTGAATCCCTATAGCTACCAGGAAAACTGCACCTTTGCTAAACTCCCTAACAATAGGAGCTAGCAGGCAGATTGTCAGACCCTTCCTAACTCTGATTGACAGCTCAGACCACTGCAACTCTGTTGGACAGAGGACCGGACTTACAAATGTTATTTTCTGATAAGCAACTGCAGATCTTAAGCCAGTTTCAGCAGCCTATAGAGGCTGTGCACAAATTGCCTTTGGGTCTTATAGTTCACCTTTTGATGTTAAGAGTCAAATTCCACCTCATTTTAATGCTAAAACCCTGCCCCAAAGTGAACATGGGATGTATGTTACATATATGTTCACTCATTGTGCATGTGCCCAGCTCCCTTATAAATATGCATAGCTATTCCCTCAAACCTGCTGAATATGTATGGCTCCATTGTGTAATACAGGCCCTGTGAGGCATAAGACCCATCCTGCCCTTTCCCTCTTAGAAGAGAGGGTAACTTTTGTCCATGCCAGAGACTATCTCTTGCTGATTTGCAAACTGATATTGACAGTAAAACTCTCCTTTCTACTGTTTAGCCATCCCTGGGCTTTCGGACAACAACAACAACAACAACAACAACACACACACACACACCAGTGGAAGCACCAGGACAAAGCCTGGGACATGTCCATGCCTGGAGAGAAATATGGGGCTTCTTTGGCTTCTGAGGTATAATAAAGAATTTGTCTGGTCTTAGTCCCTCATTCCTGGGAGTTAACTCTAAAACCTTTGGGACTCCCCAAGGGATAGGAGTATGTTTTGCTATTCATTACAAGCCCCTTTCAGCCATACCCGAGTTTATGCTAAGGAGGTGACTCTATGGTCCCTTAAACAGCTTCAAGGGAGGGACTGGCCATGCCAGAAAGACCAAGCCTATGGTTAAAGGGTTGGAAGTTCAGCCAGACCCTCTGATCTCCAGGGAGAAGAAGGTGGCTGGAGGTTGAGTTCCATCACGTGGCCAGTGATTTACCCCATCCTGTCTCTCCATTAAACCAGGTGGGTGAACACAGGACAGAAGCTCCTGTGCTCATGACCCTCCTGGACCTTGTCCTGTGTGTCTCCTCATCTGTCTGTTTCTATCCTTTGTAATAAAACTGTAATCCTAAATACAGCACTGTCAGTGAGTTCTGTGAGTCATTTTAGTCAGCTCTTGAACCTCAGGGGTTGTGGCCCGAATTTGTAGCCAGTGAGTCAGACATGCAGGCAGCCCCTGAGATGTGTGGCTGGCATCTGAAGTGAGGATGAAACCGGCCCAATTTCCCCATAGAACAGATGTTTATGGGGTTTTTTTTGAGTAAACATAGAAATTGACCCTTCCAGGGTTCAGCCTGAAAGTTACATTTGTGTGTCTGAGTTCCTTCTGGCCTCCCAGATGGTATCAGGGAAGTGAAACTTACTGAATCACCACATCCAGACAGGGAGACACCAGACCCCTCACGACTGCCTAACCCACCATCTGCTTCCTGCTGACCAACTCCTCTTCCTTTCCTTACTCTTTCCCTTCCCAGCTATATTAACCCCTCATTTTAGTTGGAGGCAGAGGAGGCAGCTGACATCACCCGAATAAAGGCTTCTTCCCCAGCAAAACTTGTCTCAGGGATTGGCTTTCTGTGCAGTGAGCAAAGGGCCTAGACTGAACTGCTGGTGTTTGGTAACAAGGACAATCTTACGGAGAACTGATCCCTTAAACCTGTGGGGTATGCACAGACCCTGGGTGGTGAGCATCAGAATTGAACTGAATTGCTGGACACCCACCTGATATCCCAGAATTGGTGTCAGAACAGCTTTCATGGTGCAAAAGCAGAGCTCTGCTTCCCACTGAGGCATGCATAACAGAGGATGCTCCCAAATAACAAGAGGCGTTGGCTCCTTGGCAACCAAAAAAATGACAGCTCCCAATTTCAGATGGTCCGATCTATCTATCTTTTACAAATATGGTATCTTTTCCTAATTTTTTTTTTTAAATGAAGTCTCTGTCACCCAGGCTGGAGTGCCATTGCGTGATCTGGGGTCATTTGCAACCTCCGCCTCTGGAATTCAAGCAATTCTCATGTCTCGGCCTTCCGAGTGAGTAGCTGAGATTACAAGTGCCTGCCACCATGCCCAGCTAATTTTTGTATTTTTATTAAAGATGGGATTTCACCATGTTGGCCAGGCTGGTCTTGAACTCCTGACCACAGGTGATCCACCCACCTCAGCCTACCAAAGTGCTGGGATTACAGCCATGAGCCACTGTGCCTGGCCAACCTCCATGTTTAGATTTATGACTGCCTGTAACTTCTGCCTCCCTAAAATGTACAAAACCAAACTTTAATCTGACCACCACAGGACCACTTACTCAAGGCTTCTTGAGATTGTGTTTTCACTGGGCTGTGGTCACTCTTATTGGCTCAGAATAAAACATTTTACAGATTTTGGTTTTTCTGTTAACAGCGCTATACATCTCTCTGAGCCTTAGCTTCTTCATATGTAAAAAGACAGGCTTGGATGATGTAAGGTTTAGGGTACTTCTAACTATAAAATTCCATAAATTATATTCTGATTCTAGTTTTAAAAAATTAAGAAACTATTGAAGCCACTGATGATTCACTTATACACAAAATGACAAAACCCACACAACATATGCCTTCGCATGAGTTTGAAATCTTACTAACAACAACAAAAAAATGTGTTTGTATTCTGTAGTGGTCATTTAATCAAATGGCTGCATGAAAATGTCCTGCCTCCACCCACTCTGCATCTAAACAGCAATTCTGGATAAATCACAGCTGGCTGTGCTGAACGTGGCTGGCAGAGAGGGCGCACAGGCCTCATGGGAGGGGCCGGCCTCGTGGCAAGGGAGGTTGACACAGTGTGTGGCTGAGCCATGACTTCACTCTGGACACACTCCTTCTGTCGTTTCCTCTCTGCCAACTTTCTCCAGGATTTCCCCTTACCGCCCCTAAACAGAATTCTGCAGTCTCATTGTAGAAACCATGTCTTTTATTTTCTTTATTCCGATTCTTTGACATCTTAGGACCTTGTGGACCCTGGAGAGACTGCTCCTCCCAGGTTAACCAATTCCTACAGAGAGTAAAGGACCAGTGCCTTCTATATGCAAACCAACCCATCCAGAGCCCCCACTGCCACCATCTCCCCTATGAGCTGTCATGGTCTGGCCACTATCCACCTGCCTCTCCATGCCCCAGAGCACACTGAAATTATTCAAACCAGCCAAGCCTAAGCTTGTTTGCCCTGCCCTGCCAGTTCCTTCCTATAGAAACCACAATAAAGCTCCTGCCCACAGGCTCTCACATCCCTCTGCCTCCTGATCAAGCCCAGTGCTTCCCCCCGTGGTCCTGTACAGCACAGAATGCTCTCTCTTCTTGGATCTATGACAGACAAACTCTTTTCAATAGTAGATATTTCCTGATCTGTTGGCCTTACTATATCTAAATAATAATAATAAAACCTACATTAAAAAACCCATGGTGCATTAATTCCCTGAACATTATCCCCAACTGTGGCCCTAAGCCCTTTGTGCCACCTATCATGGCACCATGGACTGCCTTTGCATGCTACTTCCTTTCTGTTCCCAGATCAGCCTATGACAGATGAATACCAAAGGTTCGCTTCATCCCCACATCTCTTCTGTCTCTGACCACTACACTTCTCATCACGTCTGCAGGGGCTGCTGAAGCAGTGAACTCAGATTGGCTACAACTTTGCAACTACCATCCTGAGTGGCAGTGGCCATCCACCCACATACTCATCTCTTCCTGGAATTGAATTCCATCATTTCTGCTTGTGCAGAAAGGTCAAAGCTCCTTTTTGATTCTTGGGTAGAATTTTGCCTCTCGGGTCTTGAAGGAATGAAGTGACTACTCCACCCTCCTTACTTCCCCACTTGGCCTCTTGGATTTGCAGGTCTGGACTTCCTACGTGAGCTGCAAAATCTCCACGCTCACCCCTGTAACAGGCCCACATCCTGTTTCCTCGCAGCCCTTACCATCTGCTCCATGGCCTGGCAGACAGTGTCTGGCACCCAGAGTGGTAAAGTGGAAAGGCCCCACAGGTGAGGTCAGTCCCCAGCCATCTGAAGACCTTCAAGTTGTCAGCAGGACTATAGACTCAATCTGTTAGGCCACTGGTGAATAAATACCCCTCCCATAAACTCAGAGCACCAAGCACAGGCGCTGGATTACTCTGCCCCCAACAATTTCAGGGCTTGCTCTCCATTTCCATGGCCAAAAAGATCGACACTGACCTTGAGTCCTAAGTCAACCTCTCACACCTGGGTGATGCCACACTGCCCTTAAAATGGCTTTTTCCTAATTCCTGGGAGTCAATGCACAGGGCCACTAAAATTCTGCCTTAATGTGTACAGCCTTTTACAGTTTGGAGGCTTCTCATATGTACTGTCTTATTTCATCCATGTGAAACAGCTGGAAAACAACTGGGCTGTAATACAAAGCAATGTAGATAATACGATTATAAAGTTTAGTTTTCTGGATGAATCGTGGGGAAAAAAGAATGAGGAAGAGAAGGAGGAGAAAAGAGTTCAATTCATTTTAAATAACCAGTTAATTCATAATATGAAGGTGGTTTTTCTCTTATTCACCCCAAGTTTTTCTCAAGATCAAGAGTAGTGAGGTCTTTATAGAATAACACTTATTATTTGTACTTACATAATGAGTTGTAGTTTTTTGTTTTGTTTTGTTTGTTTTGTTTTTGAAACAGGAGTCTTGCTCTGTTACCCAGGCTGGATTACAGTGGTGCAATCTCAGCTCATTGTAGCCTCTACCTCCCGGATTCAAGTGATTCTCTTGCCTCAGCCTCCCAAGTAGCTGGGACTACAGGCGCATGCCACCACGCCTGGCTAATTTTTCTATTTTTTAGTAGAGATGGGGGTTTCACCATGTTAGCCAGGCTGGTCTCAAACTCCTGGACTCAAGTAATCACCCCAGCCTCAGCCTCCCAAAGTGCTGGGATTACAGGTGCGAGCCACTGCGCCTGGCCACATAATGAGTTATAGCTTACAAAATATTTCTGAGTCCATTCTCTTATTTAATTATCACTACATAGCTAATTCAAGATTGATGCTTTATCCCTAGTTTATTAATGAAGAAATTGAGGCTCAGAAAATTAAAGTTAGAAAGCATTCTCAGTTGAGCATTTGATATCAGATGAATTAAAGTAGCCATACTAACATGTTGAAACGAAAACAAGCTCATTTATGGCTTCATCGCAAAGTTCTAGCTCTGCCTCTCTGTCCTTTTTCTTTTCATTACTTCTCTGACTCTGGTCAATTCTGGTGCTAGACCCACTTCCACACCACAGTGGATCCTGCACTATCTTGCGGTGCTCTGAAAGGATGGAGGCATGACCCAGGCGGGTGAAGGGTAGGAAAGAAGTGGAGCACAGAGAAATACTGATTGGGGGTCGAAGGATGGGGATGTGGGCTCAGGCAGCAGGGGTGTTGTTTACAAAGGGTTCACTCACTGAAGTGCAGATCTTTGGGGAAGACCATGCAGTGAATACACAAGGCAAACTTAAGCTTAGCAGTCAAGCTGGTGAGAAAATACCTCTCGTCCCATTCCATGAGGGTATTCTTAGAGTATATCTGTTATTTCTCTGGGTAAGGGCTTGTAGAGTAAATCATTTATTCATTCATTCGTTTGAGATGAGCAGGGACCCCTCTTAGGGACCATATGTCCCTGAGTTGCTTTTTAGAAACTCAGACCCCAAACAATGGATCTGCTGGCATGCAGACCTCAGATAAGAGGGAATAAAGGATTGAACTCTGACAGCTCTTCTTTTTTCTAAATTTCTTCCTGAGGGCCCTGAAGGAGGTCACACCCACAAACCAGAGCTAACATTCTTTTCTGCTGATCTAAAAGAAAAAAAGGTTTTGTTTTTTTTTTAAAAAGACAGAGTCTCGCTCTGTTGCCCAGGCTGGAGTGCAGTAATGCAATCACAGCTCACTGCAGCCTCAAACTCCTGGGTCAAGCAATCTTCCTGCTTCAGCCTCCCAAGCATTTAGGACTGCAGGCATGTACCACCATGCCTGGCTAATTTTTTAAAAGTATTTTTATAGAAACGGTATCTCACTATATTGCCCAGGCTGGTATTGAACTCCTGGCCTTAAGTGATCCTCCTACTTTGGCCTCCCAATGTGCTGGGATTACAGGTGTGAGCCACTTCACCCAGGCTAATCCCAAATTTTTAGACAAAGCTTTGCCTCCTTAACCAATCGCAAATCAAAACACCTTTCAATCCACCTTTTGACCTGTGGGCCCCCACTTCGAGATGTCCTGCTTTTCTAGGCAGACTGATGTATAGTCTCCATGTATAGATTTATGACTTTGCCTATAACCTCTGCCTCATCCCGTTAAAAGCCCTTACCTCTAAGCCATCTGGGAGTTTGGGTTTTAAGTGCGAGCTGCCTGATTCTCCTTGCTTGGCGCCCTGCAATAAATTACCTCCCCTTCTCTTGCTCCAATCTCATTGTCAGTGTTTGGCTTCGCTGTGCTGGGCAAGTGGACCCCAGTTCAGTTCAAAAACACATTCACTCATTCAATGAATGCTGTGTTGCCAGCAGCATGCTGAGGACACAAAATGACATCACAGCCCTCCTCCCCCTGGGTGATAGTGAGTAGGGGTGGCAGACATCTACAGTGACCCCTGGGAAGGAAAACCATGCTTTTTACGCCCTGAAAGGAATTGACCCTCCAGAACAGGGATCAAAGCGAAAGGTCAGGGCTACAGTGACTTCCTAGATGCCTAATAGTCTTTCCCTTCCCAGAATTCCTCTAAGTTTATTTTTTGTGAAGATTTTGTGTTTTGTCTTATGTCAACTTACCAGGTGAGACCATTTCAATAGGTAGATGGGCCTTAAGGCATTTATGCGGTAATATTTGTGCTCTCCACACCATAGGGCAACTCCAGTCCCCTCTGTGCCTATGGCCACACAGGAAACTGGGTGCTTAGAGGAATTAAGCCCAGATGGAATGGGACAGTAAAATTAATCAAATATTTACATCCCCCCTGGGTGAAGGGAACCTAAAATTGGGACCTCTTATGAGGCTGATTTCATGCAACACACACAGCCTGAGGCCATGGGGGAAGGTGATTAGAAGAGAAATAAATCACAGCACAGTTAGGGCTGGGTGGATTCCCTCCTCCTCCCTGCCTCCCCACCAGCTAAAGGAGAGCAGCTGAGCCTTTGGAAGAAACAACACCCTAAATAGAGAGAAAATTTCACACATATGCTCTGCAGATTTTCAGAAGACGAAATAATAAAGTACTTGTGATAGCAAGTAGCCTTTCTTGTATTATTTTTCAAAGACTGCTGGATTTAACCCCCTGTGGCTTCTAGGCTGCCCAAGTGAGTTCATAAACAATAATATTATTCTAATGCCTTAGAGGCCATTGACCACTCTTTGCAGTAAGGTTATGAAAAATGGTCATCACTGAGGTTGAGGGCATTAACAATTCCTGGCTCAATTTAAATCTAAATGATTAAAACAATTCTATGATACAATTCTTGAACTCTTGGCCTCAAGTGATCCTCCCACCTTGGCCTCCCAACATGCTGGGATTATAGATGTGAGCCACTGCACCCCGGCTAATTAGATAATCTAACTGTATTATATTGCTAGGGCTGCCATAACCAAGTACCAAGGACTGGTGGCTTAAATGACAGACATTTATTTTCTCACAGTCCTGGAGGCTGGAAGTCCAAGATCAAGGTGTTGGCAGAGTTGGTTTCCTCTGAGGCCTCTCTCCTGGGCTTGCAGATGACCGTCTTCTCCCTGTGTCTTCACATGGGCTTCCCTCTGTGTGTGTCTGTGTCCTAATCTCTTCTTCTTGTAAGGACACCAGTAATATTGGATTAGGGCCCACTCTGCTGACGTCATTTTTCACTTAATTTTCTCTTTAAAGACCCTATCTCCAAATACTCTGAGGAGCTGGGGGTCAGGGCCTCAGTATGTGTATTTTTGGGGAACACAGTTGAGCCCAAAACACCAACCAAGAGCTACTCTTCACACAAAAGCAATGGTTTATGTGTTTCTCTTTCTTTACACACAGAGGCCTATGTAGAATTCTGTGTTCTGCTTTTTTCATCAACACTCTTCCGTATTCCATTTTTTTTTTTGTCTCAAGGTCTTCATATTTATCTTTCACAGCACAGCTGCCTTGTATCATGCAAGTGGTATACCATGGACAATATGGGAAAAATAGATACCGTGGACTACTAGAGAATGGAGGGAGGGGGGATGGGTTAAAAACAATACCTATCAGGTACTTTGCTTACTACTGGGGTGATGGGATCTATACTCCAAACCTCAGCATCATGCAATATTCCCATGTAACAAATCTGCACATGTACCTCCTGTATCTAAAATAAAAGTTAAAATTTAAAAACAAAGTGGTATACCATCACATATTCTTAGGCATTTAGGTTGTTTCCAGTTCCTCAAACATAAATACAAGGGAAAACGAAAACAGAGTCAATCAAACAGGCAGGCAGCTTCGCAGGGCAGACAATGAGAGCCTTGCCATTGTCAGGCCCAGGTTTGCGTCTGGGCTCAGCCAGCTGTTACTGTGCAAACTTGGGAGGCTGGGACTTAATCTTCCTGAGAGTCAGTTTCCTCTTCTGTAGAATCATCCTATATTATGAGGCCGTGAGAATAACCAAATTATATAATATCTGCAAAGCTCTTACTTAGGGCAAGGGCTCAAAGTAACTCCTTTCTTCTCTTGTTCATTAACACCTTTGTATGTAGAATTTACCTGTGATTCTTCAAAGTACCACCAAAATTCCCTCTACCTCCAAAAACTTTGAGCCAATTTATACTTTTATTGCCCAAGTAGCTGCACCTTGAGGCCTATCCCAGTTATTATTGCTGTGTAGCACATCACCCCAAAATACAGTGTTGCCAAACACCTGTTCCTAATGCTCACTGATGCTGTGAGTTTGGAATGTAAACAGGTGTGAAATAAATAATTAAAAATCTCAGCTGTTGGAACTTTAAATTGCTTTCAGCCTCAAAGGAATGTGCTTATGAAACCTGAGTCACGTGACAGGCAGCTGTAAACTTGGTCTCTCTGATTATAGATTAGCCTTCTTCCTTACCTACACTGTTTTGTGAAATGTTGCAAATGATTAAAGGGTGCCAGGGAAGACTCCTTCCCTCTTAGTGTTGGTCTTTATTATAGATTAACATCCCTCTTACATTTTCCACACGAAGACTTTGTGACTATGTTAAATATACTCTTTTAAATTGGAAAGCAAATGAAAGCAAGCCATACAGAAAAGAAAACAAACTATCAAATTGTTAGAACCCATAAACCAGGCTTGTATAGAAAATGTTTTAATCCTGTTAAATTTCTTTATTTTCCTCCTATATAAGCCAGACCTTAACTTTTCACTTCAGAGCACTAACTCCATTTCTGTGGAATCCTTGTTTTCTGAATGGTCATTCCCAGCTTTTTACTTGAATAAACTCTTTAAAGCTGATTCCAATCCTTTCACTTATTTCAGGTTGACACAGGGCATGAGGATGGCTTGTCTCTGCTCCCCGATGTCTGGGCCTCAGCTGGGAAGAATTCATTGGCTGGGGCTGAAGGCTTCCCTGCTGGAAACTTCCCCACATCTGGCACCCAGGCTGGGTAGACTGAAAAGCTCAGCTCAGTGGAGGCTGTTGACAGGGCCACCAAGACAGGGACTTCCTGGGGAGCCTGGGCTTCCACAGCATGTTCTGACCATGGATGAAAACCAGCACAGGCCCATCCAACTCCAAGAGAAGGCACATAGACCCCGCTTCTCCATGAAGAGAGTGCCAGAGGACATGCAGCCATTTTAATAAACCACTGCAAGCCCCTTTGGTGAATTAGGGGGTCATGGGCCAGGACACAGTGAGGGCTGAGCTGCCACCTTCTCTGTCTTAGGGAGGGGGGAAGGAGAACACACAGATGTTAACAATTTTTGCCCTGTTTCATTGGGAACTAAACGCATTATTTTAGTCCTTCCAAACATAGACAGGAACTCTCGTCATTCTGGGCCTCAGTTTCCCCATCTGTAAAATGAAGTAGTTGGAATGGATGATCTTTTAAAGTCTATTTTGACTTTTTAAATCTAAGATTCCACCAAGCCCCGCCCCTGTGATTTGGCAGATGAAAATCCCTAGCGGATTGTTCTTAAAGACCACCTGAGCTGGAGCCACACGGCTCCCACCTGCCTCCCGGGCTGCTTCTTGATAGAGCAGGAGGATCGCCATCTTGGACAAGCCTCTCATTCTAAAGTTCACCTTAATCAAAAACCACCAAAATCCAAAGGACATCAGCCTAATGGCTAAGGTCAGCACGACCTTAAACCATAAATAACATCTCCAACCAGAAACATTTCAAATTCCTCCCCACCCAGAGACATGCTAGTCCCGAGGTCATCCTGCTCTGGCTGGGAAGATGCCATCCCTGAGATAACCCCCCTCCAGCCAGAAAGATGTCATCCCCAAGGTAACCTCCCCTCCTTCTGGTGACATTCTAGCCCTGCCAGAAAACTTCTCCCTCACACAGAAATATTCCAAGCTTGTGATAAGCCCTCTCACTCTAAAACCAATATATACTTTTAGTCTATAAGAGAGAGTGCTCCTGACCGAAATCGGCCAGAAGCCCCTCTCAGGTTTATTTTTCTCTAACATAAATCTGTCTTTAACTGTCAAGCCACATTTTGTGTTTCTTTCCTCTTTCTTTAAAACTCTTACACTTCTCAGGCTGAAGGTCCTTTTGAGAGCACCTGTTGCAGTACCTGCTTCTACAGAGGCTTTCCTTACACCCACTCCCATGTCACCCTCTCTCAATTCCATCAGTATTGGGTCTCTCTGAGGCTCTGTGTTCAACTGCCAGGCTCAGCTCGGCTTCCCTCAAAGGCCCTCTGTGTTCAGGTCTCTCAGGTCTGCCCTGACCATCCCTCCTGAATGCATCTAAGCAAAAATATATTATAGGAAGCTTGGAAATGTTATGCTAAGTAAAAGAAGCCAGTCACACAAAAGGGCACTTATTTTATGATTCCATTTATACAAAATGTCCAGAAGTCTATAGAGACAAAAAAAGTCAATCAGTGGTTGCCTAGGGCTAGGCTAGGGTGGAGAAGGCAGTGTTGAGGGAAAATGGGGAACTGTTGCTCTAGAACATTGGGTTTCTCTGGAAGATGATGAAAATGTTCTAAAATTGGTTTTGGTGATAATTGTTCAACTCTGTGAATATACTAAAAGTCAATGGCTGATACACTTTAAAAAAAAGCTTCTCTGGTGGTAAAACCCACTCTCCCAACCCTCTCACCCCCACAGCAAGTGAGTGACAGGTGTCAGAACTATAGATGCTAGACTCCGCTCCCACCTCTGCCCACTCTCCCCGTGTTCCTCCCAGTGCTCACCATCAGGTGCCACACCCAGGAAAAATGGAATGCAATTTAGCAGAGTTCTTAAAAAGCACCCGAGAAAATACCATTTCGATTACTACATGAGTGAGGGAAAATGCATATTCATAGCATATTTTATTATTTGATTCCATCATTGTGTTTTATCTGTTTGTGTCATACTGTCAAAGACAAGATTCTAAAATGCCAATCTGGCATACTTATTCTGAGAAGGAAATTCCAGGAAGTTGTTCAGGCATTTTCCCCCCTGAAACAGCACTGCCAGTAAGCACTTACTGTCTACATCACTCATGTGACAAGTAAAAAGACCCACCCTGCATCCTAAGGGTTGTCACTGAGAATCCTAAGTGTTGTCCTCTGAGAATAGGTCTGGGGAGGGCCAGGCATTATGGCTTTTACAGCCTTGTGCTCTCCTTTTTCCTCTCTCTCAGCAATCCTCTCACCCTGCCATCAGCATCTCGTTTCGAGAAGGGGATAGACAGCTATGTGCTGGACGATGCTGAAGCATCTCCCTCCTCCTGGAGCCTGCATCCCTATCACTCCTCTCCTGCCTCCTCTCCTCCCTTGAGGCCTTTCCAGCCCCACCTCACCTTATCTCATGGATCTCAGGATGCTGGTGTCTGGGATCCAATTCTAGGACCCCGGCTCTCATTTGAAGAGTGAGGGAGCACGAGGGTTACTTACCCTGCAGCCCCACAGTGTCCCTTGCTGCTGTCGCAGGGCTTCTCTTGCTCCCTGGGTGCTCCTGTTAGCACAAGATAACACAGTCAAACCTCTTTTGGGCAGGATTCCAAAACAATCACCATAATTCCTCCCGCTCCCAATATGGATTCACGTTGCTTGATTAAACATACCCGTTTAAAGTAAAAGCCTCATTAATATCCAGGGTTGTAAGCCCATTTTGTTTGGCTAACTGCTTTCCTTACTGTTTTATTTGATTTATTCCTCTGCCAAACTCACATCATAAGGTCTCCTCTCCATTTAATTTAGCATCCAAACAAAACGCGCCTGTCTCATCAGGCCCACGCAGTGTTCAGGAGTGGAAAGTCTGAAGGGGATCTCACCTCTCACTCTTTCCAGCAGTCAAATTTCCCCCTTTCTTTCCCTGAGAAGAGGGTCCCATGATATTTCAATTCTGGGAAGATGAGGACAACAAAGCAAAACACAAAAGAATAAATGAAGGTATGCTTTCTGCATGGGACTTGAGGGACATTGGCTTAAATCCATCAAATTCAAGTTAAGTTCTGCTCTGGGCCAACCCCACTGCTGGGAATCTTCACTGACAGGCTTGTAGGATCACAGGGATGATCTTCCCAGGAAAAATGGGGAGGATGATGATGGTGGTGGTGGTGGTGGTGATGGACATATACTAGTCCTATTCACATTGATGACATTATCCCTCCAGGGTCACAGCTAACACGGGGTCATCTTGGCTGGAGTGCAGTGTTCTTTTCCACCTCCCCCCTGGATGGCTAACAGTCTTAACAGTCTTTCTTTCTTTCTTTTTTTATTTCTTGTAAGACAGAGTCTCACTCTGTCACCCAGGCTGGGGTGCAGTGGTGCGACCTTGGCTCACTGCAACCTCCACCTCCCGAGTTCAAGCAATTCTCCTGCCTCAGCCACCCCAGTAGTTGGGACTACAGGTGCTGCCACCACGCCCAGCTAATTTTTTGTTGTCGTTGTATTTTTAGTAGAAGTGGGGTTTCACCATGTTGGCCAGGCTGTTCTCCAACTCCTGGCCTCAAGTGATTTGCCTGCCTCAGCCTCCCAAAGTGCTGGGATTACAGGCGTGAGCCCCTGTGCCCAGCTTAGCAGTCTTCAACTTCTATAAGGAACCACTCTACACCGGGCACTATCCTGGCTGACATTCTCCGCATAATCCTGAACTTTACGGTTTTCCAGACGGGAGCACAGGGGGAAAAAATGTCACTCTGGAGCTGACCCCTGCTAGTCCCTAGAGCAGGACTCTGATAATTATGGGGCAGGAGGGAGCAGACTGTGCTGTCTCTATTACACATAACGCTCTGCCCCCACCTTCCTGCTAGAAGAAGATTCTGATCCTCCTCCCCCAGGGAGAGCTCTCTCCCCTCCCATGTCCTGAGAGAATGACCATGTGGGGGTGGTTCCAGGGAGAGCTCCTGTCCTTCGGATGTGTTGAGATCTGGTGGAGGGCTTTGTAGGGGATGTGAGAGCCTGTGCTGAGGGGTGTGTCTCTGCCTTTCTCCCTCACGCTCTCTAGAACATGCTGGGGGAAATGTGTCGGAAACTGTTGTCCACACCTCTCGATTCTTCTGATAGAAATATTGAAGAGGGCGCCAAAAATCAACACTCTAAAGGGAAGGGGTGGAGTGCAAAACCAAAAACCTCCTATTCCTACAAATCAATGCCGCACAAATCTAGAGATTACTGGGAGCCCCTCCTCCATCTCTTTTACAGCGGTAAGTTGTGTTGTGAAGGCTGAGGACAGAATGGTCAACTTAGGGGGCTCCAAAGAATTGCAGGGCTGGCAGCAGGTGTCAGCGGGGAAGTGAAGAGGAGCTACTGGGAACGCCGTGATTTATCCATCATCAGGAAGATCTGTGGGTGATTTCACGTTGCAAAATGAATTTAAGTTGACTGTAGGTTACTACAAGATAATTTCACACTAACTTACCTGCATTCGAAATACATCCTGAGTGGGAAGGAAGGGGTCTCATGGCAGAGTACACTCAGGGGCCTCCACCCCATGCCGAGGCAACCATTATTCCCTTTCCTGAGGACAATTATTTCCTCACAGAATGTTTTTGGCTGTTTCATCAAAATAAGTGCATGCATGGAATCCTGTTAAGCATGTGGACTTCATCCATCATGTATGATGTGGCAGGGGAGAAAAATGGTGAGATTCACTGGTCTGGATAATTTCCAAAGGCCCACTTCTCATCTGCAATTGAGGAGGTCAGGGCTGCCTGCCTTGGGAGTGTTGGAGAGAGGAGCCATAGCTTTCCACTCACTCTCACTTACACAGACGGGTTTAAAGCCAAAACAAAGGGAAGCCTCCTTCATCTCACACACACATCGCTTCTAAAAAACACCCACAAGCTGCCTAAAATGGCTATCTGGCAGTGAGGAGGAAAGAACACTAAAATGGGGGTTGAAATGGTCAGGGATGCCAAGACGAAGTCCTGGGCTGTAGCAGAGACAGTCCAGTGCATTGTCTATGGAGTGAGGGGGCTAAGCTGCATCTTATTCGCACTTCACATAAGACTAAGGTCAATTGTCCCCACTACTTGGGGCAGATGGGTGCTGACACCCTGCCTTCTCCAACCGTTAAAGAAACCAATGACTAAATTCTTGGGCTTACAGGGTAGCGGATAAGA
This sequence comes from Homo sapiens, assembly GCF_000001405.40. Lineage (NCBI taxonomy): Eukaryota > Metazoa > Chordata > Mammalia > Primates > Hominidae > Homo > Homo sapiens. The sequence continues at coordinate 230,496,294 of NC_000001.11, read as the reverse complement.
AACAACTTGGTGAAAAACTGAAACTGAAACGGCGCTCCAAAGAGTAAGAAACTAGTAGCTAACAGAAATTCTTGTGTTTGCAGAGTAGCAGATAAGAAAAAAACCAACTCGCTGAAACACTGAAACTCTCTCTGCTTGTGAGATCAAGAAAAGCCGGCTGAAATCAGTTGGAACCAAGGTGGCCAACTGGAGCTTTTGCAAAACGAGGTTGCTGACGTCAGAGCCTGAATTTCCACTGCAGGTTTCATTCTAACTCCCTTTGAATTTGCACATGGGACCCATGAGGTAGCATGGAGACATAACTGCGCATGCCCAAGACTTTTCAGCCCTCCCCTTTCCGTCCACCAATCACCTTCTGATCCCAGAATCCACCCTCTGAACGTTTTCTAGTAAAATACTGCCTTGAAGCCAGCCTGGGGAAACAGATTTGAGCTTGACTCTTGTCTCCTTGTGAGTTGACTTTTGACATAAAGCTTTTCTTTTTTTAAAACCCTGGTGTCATAGTACTGGTTTCCAGCACATTGGGCAGTGAGTCCCTTTTGCTGGATAACAGTGCTGATGGAGATGATGGGGAAGCCAGAGCCCCCAGGCTACACCTTGGTGCTCTGCTAACTGGACCAAGGTCTGACTCCAAAGTCAGAGGGCAATTCGAGATTCTTCTCTTCGTGCCACCCATAGGATATCACATTAAACTTTAGCCTAATGCTGAGGGAATGTGGGAATTTGCCCAATAGTAATGATGCCCAGTGGAAACTAGGTTTCTCCTGCGGATTACCCTCTGCCCACACATTCCCCACCCTGTGCCTTGCGCATCCAGTGGCTACCAGTGTATCCCACCTAATCCAACATCTTGCTGCAATCCTGAAAGGGCTTCTAGACTGGCCTCCATCACTAAACCAACAGGAATCCTCCACTATGAACCAGCAGGGTTCTGCGTTGTTGTTGCTATGGTGACAGTTATCCAAGAGTACATCAAGAGAAAAATAGCCACGTTTTAGCAGGTGCACAGTCCTAGAACAACATACTGGTACTGGCTCATAAAGTTTTCTAGTTTTCCCTAAGGCTTTTAAAATTAGGAACCAATATGTAACCGCTCGGAACACAATTTCCCTAGCAACCAGAGAAATGCCAGTCCCTCCTGTTAGGGAGGTTAAAAATAACATTGCATGTGCCACTGTAACCAACTGGAATCTCCAAATTCCCTTCTGTAACAGCCCCCTGGTCACAGCAGATGTCCAACTCCCCAAATCTCATCTATCATCAACATAGCCTTTCCAAGGCATGAATGCAATTCACCTTCATAGAATTACTCAGGTCTCTTTCTGCCTACAGAAAAAAAGAGTCATAGTCAGCTTGGTCTGCATAAGCAGGGGCTACCCTCCTTTCCTGCCCCTTTCCCACATAGCACCCATGTTCTAGGCATAAGCATTTCCTCAAAATTCTCTGACCAGACCATATGCCTGCCTGCCTTCTTTCATTCTTTCTCTTCTCTTCCTTCCTTTTCTTTTTCTTCCTTCCTTCCTTCCTTCTTTCCTTTCTTCCTCCCTCCCTCTCTCCTTTTTCCCTTCTTTCCTTTCCTCCTTCTTTCCTCCCTCCCTCCCTTTTTCCTTCCTTCCTTTCCTTTCCTTCCTCCCTTTCTTCCTTTCAATGTGATTAGCATACAAAAACATAAAAATATCTTAAGTGATCAGTTCAAAGAATTTTGACAATTGTGTATGCAAGGCAAAAACACGGAACATTTCTACCACTCTAGAAAGTTCTCTCATGCACCTTTTCAGTCAGTCTACCACCCTTCAACCCCAAGGCAACCATTTTCTGACATCAATTGCCACAGATTAGTTTTGTCTGTTTATAAACTTCATAAATGGGATCAAACTGAATGTATTATTTTGCTTATTTCATTGTGTGACTATGCCACATTGTAAAAATCTATTCTTCTGTTGATGAACATTTGGTCTGTTTCCAGTTTGGGATTATCTGTTTCCAGTTTGGGATAAGGCTCTTACGAATATTTTTGTGCTAGCCTTTTTGTGGACACTTGTTTTTATATATTTTGGGCAAATATCTAGGAGTGGAATTGCTAGGTCACAAGGTAGTTGTATGGTTAAATTTACTAGAAACCATCACACAGTTCTCCAAAGTGGTTATGCCTTTTGACTTTTTCATCATCATCTATGAGAATTCCAGTTGTTCCACATCATTACTAAAATTTAGTATTGTCTGTTTTTTTCTTTTATTTTAGCCATTCTAGTGTGTGAATAGTAGAATCTCATTGAGGCTTTAATTTGCATTTTCCTGATGACTAATAATGTGAGCATATTGTCACGTGTTTGTTGTTCATTTGTACATGTTCTTTTGTGAAGTACCTACTTAAGTCTTTTGTTCATTTTAAAATTGAATTTATTATTTTATTAATAACATATCCTGAATATAAACATTTTTTTCAGGTATGTGCTTTACAAATAGTTTTCCCTGTTTGTGGTTTGTCTATTCATTTTCTTAATGGCATATTTGAATAGGCAGAAGTTTTAATTGTAGTGAAGTCCAATTTACCAGTTGTTTTTCTTTTATGGTTAGTCCTTTCTGTGTCTTGTCTCATGCATCTCTGATTAACTCAAATTTGCAAAGAATCTCTCATATATTATTCTAGAAGCTTTTTAGTTCTGGCTTTTTCATACAGGCTTTGGGTCAGCCAAATTGTGTGTGTGTGTGTGTCTGTGTGTGTCTGTGTGTGTCTGTGTGTGTGTGTGTGTGGTGCTAAAGACAGGGGTTGAGGTAGTTCCAGTTTCCTTTCACCATTGAATTTCTTTGGTGCCCTTGTGAAAAACCAGTTGACTATAAAAGTATAGGTCTATTTCTAGACTCGGTTTGCTAGACTCTATTTCTAGACTCTGTCATTGACCTGGGTGTTTATCCTTAAACAATGCCATGCTGTCTTGGTTACTGTGCTTTAGAGGAAACCTTGAAATCGTGCAGTGTAAGTTCTTTGACACTTTTCTTTGTCGAGATAGTTTTGGCATTTCTAGAGCCTCTGAATCTTCATTAAAATTTCAGAATTAAATTTTCTGTTTCAACAAAAAAGGTGCTGGAATTGATAGTTGAAACTGTAGATCAATTTAGAATGAATAAACATTTTAAAATATTGAGCCTTCTAATTCATAAACATAGTATATCTCTACACTTATTTGTGCCTTCATTAACTCCTCTCAATAATGTTTGTAGTTTTCAGCATAAAATTATTACACATCTTTCATTAGATTTACTCCTAGATTTGATTAAAAATCAAAAACACTTGTTTGACTATTCAAGTGCTATTGTAAATAATGTTTTATTTCTAATCAAATATTATCACTTGTTACTTCACCTGTGTACTTTTGCACATGTAGTTCCAGACACATGGACTGCTTTTCTTCTTGTCTGTTTACCTGCCTGCTGCTCTTCCTTCCAAACGCCACCTTCTCTCTGTCCTTCTAGGCTGAGTTAGTAATCATATCTCTACATTGTGATCAAGGCCTGTGTGGGTCTAGTTTGTCCCATTTCATGTTTTAGAATGCTTTATCTTTACATTTATCTAATTAATATGTAATATTTACATGATTTTTGGTATTCATGTCAATTCTAGGCAGCATTTTACAGTGATAAATTATAGCCGCATAAAACTTTTTGTTCTGCCACTCATTAGGTATATAATTTTGTCTCTTTGTAAGTAAGAAGAAAATGTGGGCAAGCATGTTTCTTGCACAAATTACACATTTGTAATGAGGAAGCCTGGTTGCTCATCTCCAAGAAACTGGAAAGGTAAAATGTGTTCAATGCATTTCATAGAGTACCATCAACAATTAGAAATAGTGAATTCCATGCATATAGAGCAACATGATTGGATCATGAGAAGTGCAATTGGGTGGAAAGTAAGAAATACATAACACAAAAGCATTTGTGTACATTAAAAATTCACCTAACATCGAAAAAATGCAACAAAACAACAAACCCTATTTTTCAAGAACACATTCACATGAAAGTATACATTGGAATCATTGTAGGGGAGGAAGGGTGTGTTATAGGAGTGGGAAATCAGGGATAAAAGGAAATCAATTAACCAAGGAAGGGTCCTAGCAGGTCACTGATGACAACATACTGGGAAACAAGGAGTTGGAGAAACTCAAGCTACTGTTGCAAAGATCCCAAACAGAAAATAGAAAAGGTAAAAACAAGTTTTTGAGATGATGAAGTGAGATAATCCATTAAAAGTGGTTAGCAAGTACCTAACACATAATAAACACTGAATAATTTTATCAAAGTGATATTAGTAGACTACTAATATGTGCCAAAAAGCACAACTCCATGTGGAAAGGGATCTTGTCTAACTTGTTTATCCCAATATCTTGAGCACTGAAACAGTGCCTAGTGTATTGTAGATGCTCAATAAATATTTGTAGTGTGAATGACAGGCACTGAGATTGAATGATGAGCAAAAGCAATATTATTTCTGCCCTTATAGAGCTAATATCTTGGAAGGGAGACAATCACTAATAAAAAAAATTAAATAAATATAAGATTGCAACTGTATCAAGTACAAGTGCTCCTGGTTCTAGGAGAGTCTGTTAATGGAATGATGTGAACTGGTCAGAGAGATCAGAAAAAGCTTCCCAAGGAAGTGACTGCTGAACTAAGATGAGTAGGGATTAACTAGGTGAACAGAGGAGGAGGATTATTTAGATAGAAAGAATAGCATATGCAAAATCCCTGTGCCAGATAAGTGCTTGGTAAATACAAGAGCCTGAAAGAAGGCCAGTGAGCTGGGGCTCAGAGAATGAGAGGCCCCAGTCAGGCAGGAGGCTAGAAAGGGAGGTGAGGTAATAATGCTCAAGGCCTCATCAACCATGCCAAGGAATTGTTTTTATTTCCCCTGCAATGGAAAATGGGTGAAGGGCTTTAAGAGCGGAGAGACACAATCAGATATGGATTTTTAGAAAATTGTTCAGGCATCAATCTGGGGCCAACTGGAGGAACCCACAGTAGATGGTGAATCTCGTTGAGAGGACACTGCCATAGCACAGGCGAGAGCTCACTGAAGCTTGCACTAGGCTGATGTTGGAGAGAGACATGGCTGGATGGTAAACGGTGGCTAGAATCATGACCATCTCACCACTGATGTAGAACATGTGGCAGATCCATTCAATATGGCTGGCTCCTAGATGTCAAGAAAAGTCTGAATCTGCCTGGAATAATTTTGGTGTTCATGGGAGGGTCTAATGGATCATAAGATGCTCAAAGCTCATGATAAGATGAAATCCCTGAACAAACAGGACTTAAAGTCTCCTCCTCCCATGTTTCCTGATACTGTCTTACCACTTGACAATTGGAGGGAAATGGGGTCTGTAAGTGTCTTAGTCCAAACGACTTTCAACCTAGTTGGTGCTGGTACTGGCCTTATTAATGCATAAATTCATGATATTCATCAACTAGCCTTGGAGTCTGTTTCTGCTAACAGGCCCCACAGCACCATAATCTCTGCCTCCTGATCTCCGTAACTTTTCTGATCACACCAGTCCAGACTACACCCCTGCCTGCCAGGAGGAGAGAGCATACACTCTGCAATTAAGCAGTCACCTACAGGGTCAGGCCAGGGAACACCCCAAGTCCATCCAGCACCACACCTCCCACAACTATCCCAGCCCATCCTGCCACAACTGTTCTGAGACAGAGCCATGCTGACCTCTCAAACAAAGCCCAGCTCCATATTTGGTGTGTGAGCTCATGCTCTCAGTTTCTCCTCAAGAGGAGCTTACCCACACCCCCAAAAAAACTGCACTCAAAGAAAAAGCCCACACTGTGAGCCAAGCCAGCGCCTCAGCCTAGCAGTCGTCCTGTGCATGCTGGCACCTTCTTACTCCCCCACAGAAGAGACCCTCACTCCTCATCACATGATGCCTCAACCTCACTTCTATGGAAGGCATTTCATGATCATCTTTGGACACGAAGAACCCAAATATGTATGACATCTCCTTCTCAGAAGTCAATTGCAATGAATGTACATAGCAAATAGAAAACATCAATAATTAGAGGAGGCATCACCTGAGTGCTGAATTGTCTCAGATCCTTCTTTTTCTTCTCCTGGCTATCAGCTAAGGGCTCCTCCAGTACAAAACTTGCCTTGCACCTCTGTGCTTTGGGACCCCAGGGGTATCAATTCTGGTCAATCAGTGAACACATCAGTCACTCAGTCAATCAGTTGACAGATTTTTCTAAGCCCCCACAGTACACAATGCTGCCTATGTGGACATAGAGTTTCTAGAGGAGGGAAGAAGATATGGTCCCTCAAAGCATAAGGATTGAGAGGTCCCTATTTCTGCATAGCCTCCTTGAATGCAGAGGGAAATCCATTCTTGCATGTTCAGAATCACTGCCAGCTACGCAGACTTGCAGCTCACTCTCCCACAACCCTGAAAGACCAAGGTGAGGTAAAAAACTCTCCTTAAGCCAAGCAGCTAGGGAGCAAGCTCTCTTCCAGCCAAATCATTGATGTAGTCTGACCTGGACACCCCCTTTCTACTGACTCACAGATGCAAGCAGTTCTTGTCTCTCTGATATCCAAATCCCACGATTCTACATTCCTCTCCTTTTTATCTCACATGTATACATTTAAAAATGTTTAAGGGTCACAGCAGCTGTATTAGTCCCTTTTCACACTGCTATAAAGATCTACCTGAGACTGGGTAATTTATGAAGAAAGGAGGTTTAATTGACTTACAGTTCCACAGGCTTAACAAGAAGCATGACTGGGAGGCCTCAGGAAACTTGCAATCATGGCGGAAGGCGAAGGGGAAACAAGCACATCTTACCGTGGTGGAGCAGGAGAGAGAGAACGGAGGGGAGGGAGGTGCCGCAACCTTCTAAACAACCAGATCTCGTAAGAACTCTATCAAGAGACAGCACGAGGGGCTGGCGCTGAACCATTAGAAACCACCCCCATGATCAAATCACCTCCCACTAGGCCCCGCTTCCAACACATGGGGATTACAACTTGACATGAGATTTGAATAGGGACACAGTGCCAAACCGTATCAGCAGCATTACTCCTAATACCCAAAAGATACAACCAATCCGAGTGTCTATCTACAGATGAATGAATAAACTGTAGTTTTTCCAAATTATTAAATATTATTCAGCTTAAAAAAAGGAAATTTTGGCACATGTTACAATATAGATTTATTGAGGATGTTATGCTAAATGAAATAACCCAGACACAAAAGGACAGATATTGTGTAGTTCTATTTATCTGAGACAAGTAGAATTCAAATTCATGGAGTAGACAAGTAGCCTCAAATTCATAGAGATGGAAAGTAAAATAGTGGTTGCCAGGGGATATGGGAGTGGGGGATTGGGAGTTATTGTTTAATTAGTAGAGTTTCAGTTCAGGATAATTAAAAAGGTCTGAAGATAGATGGTGGTGATGGTTGCACAACAATCTGAATGTACTTAATGTCACTGATCTGTATAACTAAAATATTTAATATGGTCAATTTTATGTTATGTATGTTTTACCACAATTTTTTAAGTTAAAAAAATTACAAGGGAAAGACATAGCAGATGAGACTGATAGGCATTAATATGTTTGCTCATTGAAAACAAAGTTGATTGCACTGCAGGAGGTCATTTAATTGGCTGATCCTGGTGGGAAACTCTGCTCTGACCATTGGCCCCACTGCCACCCACTAGGACAATCTGGTCTTGGAAGTGTAGATGGAGCCTACGGGATTCACAACTTGTTTATAAAACCGGATGGGTGGCCAGAGATAAAACTGGATGGATGGATGGATGCCTGGAAGATAGAACTTGCTGGAAAGACCAAGGACTGTTGAGGAAGTATGGTAGTTTTCCAATAAGAAAGATGGTAGAGAGGACCTCAGATATTGACAGCTCATCCCTAAATACTCCACTGGACACAAACACTATGGTACTTGCTAGAGGAAACCCTGGGAATGATCTGACTGAGTGCTCTCATTAGACAGATGAGGCAACTGAGATCAGAGAGGTTAAGTGATTTTCCTAAGGCCACACAGATCAGAAGATGACCCATGACCTCCTGACTCTCTAATGAGTGCCCTTTCTACTGTTTAACAAAATAACCTACATTCTGAGGGGGACTCGTCCACCCTGAAATCTTTGTCATAGAGGACAGATACCACAAATCATTCCAGAACACCTGCAGCTGACACAGTTTACCTTTCTCTTCCAGCCTCTTTCTAAATTCCAGTTTGTTCTGGCCATGAACGTTTTATTCTGCCCTTGCCTGAGTAAACCTCAGCCCTGGAAAATCAATTCCATTGTGCGTCATCTGTGTCCCTTTCCTAAGTGGTTGGCCTCTGCTGGAAAATATCTCAGGACCATGCACACCAGATCCATTGCAAAGTGTATCCTCAGGGAGGCCTGCAGGGCTGCTCCTTGCTCTCTTTATTTGCGCTTAGACATTCTTTCTAGGTTCCCTCTCAGAGACAGCTCTGAATGTTCCCCTCACCTTAAGCTCCCTGGGGAGTTCTCACCTTACCTGTCACTGACTTCATCCAGAAAATTGAGGCCAGTGGTTCTAAATTTCTTCTACACCACCCATCTCCTGACCCACAAGCTTGTGTCTGTCCCTGCCCACCCTCACTCCTCCCCCCAGGTCAGAGCACTAGGGTCCTTCCTTCTGCCCCAGACTAGTGGGCCTGAGTTCCAAATCCCTTTTTCCAACCACCACTGTTTTCTCCATCCATAAATGATCCTCTCTCTCCACCTTCGGCCACCTCTTAACTAAGTCCTTCCTCTCAAATCAAAGCCTTCTTCAAAGATGTACACACTTGATCCTTCAAATTCTCACTGTCCATTCACATCTCTGATTCCTTGGCTGCCTCCATCACTTGACAAGAACTGCGCTGGCTGGAGCCACACATGGTCCAATCCAGTGAGTGTGCTTAGGGGTGTTTATTCTATTTTTTTTTTCCAGACAGAATCTCCCCCAATCACTCAAGCTGGAGTGCAGTGGCGCAATCTCGGCTCACTGCAACCTCCGCCTCCTGGATTCAAGCGATTCTCCTGCCTCAGCCTCCCAAGTAGCTGGGATTACAGGCATGCGCCACCAGGCCCAGCTAATATTTTTTGTATTTTTAGTAGAGACGGGGTTTCACCATGTTGGCCAGGCTGGTCTCAAACTCCTGACCTCAGGTGATCCACCCGCCTCGGCCTCCTAAAGGTGTGTTTTTCTTTGCACTGCCTTGTCTCCGCAGCATTTGACTCCTCTGACCTCTGCCATCTTATGGAAATCCTCTCCTTCTCTCCCCCTACTTCTTCAGCTATTACTTCTTGGTTTCTTTGATAGCTTTCTCTTCCTCCACCTGCCTCTCAAACATTGGTATGTAGAGAGAAATGACTTAGCCCACTGTCTTCCTTTTCCCTGAGCAATTGCACCTACCCTTTTGGTGTCAACACCTCATCTCCTACAGTGGAATCTAGCTCTGACCTCTACGTAATACAGTCCAAGTTCTGTAATTTAGCATATAAAGACTTTCATGAATCAATCTTAGATTTTGATTATATTAAATCAATCATTTAGTAGATTATACTATTTAATAACATTATAAAAGGCCACATTGTTTTAAAGGGTAAAATCATGACTCTCATACCAATATAAAATGAAAAAATGAAAAAAGAGTTTATTTTGCTCACTATTTAATCTGAGAAACAGAAGCAAGTTACAATCAATTAAAAGGAAAACCTCAAGAGCAGACACATGCAGAGGCAATCAACAATGTTAATATGAATTTGCTCAACAGACGCAAACCTGGCTTCTTTCGTGGTGAGGAAAATAAATTAATTGTACTTCCATTGGACAAAATTAATTTTCATGTCTGTGGTCAAGAGTCATTTGTATTGATAACTAGGCCAGATGGTACATGCCTGTAGTCCCAGCTACTCAGGAGGCTAAGAAGGGAAGATTGCTTGAGCCCAGGAGTACAAGTCCAGCCTGGGCAACACAGTAAGATCCCATCTAAAAAAAATGAATCCGCTAAACTGCTTATAGTATGTGAACTAGCTTATGATGATGAAAGTCAGAGAAGGGTATACTGGATAGGGCACTAATTTTTCCTACATCTCAAAGTCATTCACAGTTTTTCCTGGTTGTGTATTTCTCTCCTCTCCTCAACCTGTAATCATAATAATCTCAAAAAAAGTATATTTTTGATCACACACAAAAAAGACTGGTCTCCTTAGCTTTGGCCTAATTATTACCATGGGGTAGCAAAGTACTTAACCACAGATGCTTTCTTGAGTTTGCTTTTGCATATTTAGAACTTTATATTATTGAATAACTACTGAGGCCACAAATTAATGTTTGCCTTAAAGTTTTCTTAAGTGATCTCGGATTTTTAAAAATCTTCTGTTACTTGCCATCCTGAGGCTAGGAAACTAAGCTTTGAAAACTCTTTCTCCAGCTTTCCCCTGCAGTCCTGTCAAGTTTGCTGAGGGTGTTGGCCCATCTCACATCCGTAAACCAGGTACCAGCCCGTTTTCCTGGGAGAGCTTTCTAGGCATTGATTGGCACCCTAAACAAAGTCAACTTGTGTTACCTAAAGTGGCTTGTCACGCTGGATTCAATAAGAATCCTTCTCTAACATGACATCTCCAGATGAGACCCTAATCGCACAATCAATTTTTCCAACTATATCTTGTTTAAGAAAATGAAAAAAGAGAAGGAAAAAGGGAAAACAGTTTCTTTTTGAACCTATTGTGTTATGGGGAGTAAGGAGACTCAATAAAAGCTTCTGATCTCTAGGGGGAAAGGGTATCAGAGAGAATCAGACATCAATGAAGTAAGTTAACTTTATTTATGAATAAATGAAATAAATTAATAAATTAAATAATTTTATAAATTAATAAATAACTGAAGGGAATTAGAAAGCAATGAATTTTAAAAATTCAGTTAAAATGTTTCTCATTCTTTTCTTAAACTCACCAAGAGAACTTTATTCTTTTTTTTAAGCAAAAAGACTTTATTTCTTAAAACACTTTTAAATTTACAAAGAAATTGAGCAGACCGTACAGAGTTTCCATGTACCACCCCTTCTCCACAGCCTCTCCTTGTAAGGGAGGGAAAATATATTTTCCTTAGGCATTGCTAGGTTCATGGTTGAGGCCCCTATAACAAAAGACAGACAGATATTTAGTGTACGTTTTACATGATAGTGAGCCTTTACAAGAAAATAAAGAGCCCAAGAAATGGGTAAACCTGTGTATATTTAATGCTAGGTTTGATGAAGAAGTGGATAGTTGTGGAGAAGTATGATTGGATGAAAAAGTATGATCTAGTGGTCATAAACTGGGGGAACTTAGCAAGGCCTGTTTGCTCAGATTCTTCTCCAAGTCCCTGTGTCTTGACAGATAGGGATATTCCTTTTCTCCAGTACAGGGAGGGCACCTCTTTAATGAGGGTCTTATGATCTGCTTCATGGGAAGGTCAGAAAATCCTTCCTAGGTGTGACATTATTTTAAATACATATTTATGTTGGTTTTTATCCATGATTTCTGACTCAGAACTCCCATGGTCCTTGTAATTTCTCCCCAAGGCAGGTCATAGAAACTAAAAATGCACTCTAATCTTCCCCCACCTCTCTGTCTTACAGTTGGCCATAAAGAAATTCTCAGACCTACCTTGTCTAATTGCAGGCGATAAGACCCCAGTTTCAAAAGGGATCTTGCCGCATGCTCTGGAGGAAGGAAGACTGCACAGAGAAGCCAAGAGGAGTCAGAACGGACAGGCCTTGCTGGGTTTGCCCACTCCATCTATTACTGTTAGATCATGCCCTTTTTGACCAATCACATTTCTTTTTTTTTATTTTTATTTTTTGAGACAGAGTCTCACTCTGTCGCCCAGGATGGAGTGCAGTAGCATGATCTCGGCTCGCTGCAACCTCTGCCTCCCGGTTCAAGCGATTCTCCTGCCTCAGCTTCCCGAGCAGCTGGGATTACAGGAGCCCGCCACCACGTCCGGCTAATTTTTGTATTTTTAGTAGACACAGGGTTTCACCATGTTGGCCAGGCTGGTCTGGAACTCCTGACCTCAGGTGATCCACCTGCCTCGGCCTTCCAAAGTATGGGATTATAGGTGTAAGCCACCGTGCCCAGCCAGTCACATTTCTACATGGGTGTTTATACTTCAGTAAAGCCTATGCTATGAAGTCTCCATAAAAAGCCCATGGAAGAGGGTATGGAGAGCTTCCAGATAGCTGAACATGTGGAGGTTCCTAGAGGGTTGCATGCTCAGGGAGGGCACAGAAGCTCTGTGCCCCTTCCCCCATACCTCACCCTATGCATCTCTTCATTTTGTAACACACTTTGTAATAAACCAGTAAATGTGAGTAAATGTTTCCTGAGTTCTGTGAGCCTAGCAAATTAATTAAACTCATGGAGGGAGTCGTGGGAACCCTGATTTGCAGCCAGTAGTTGAGAACCACAGGCAAAACAACCTTGGGCTTGCCATCGGAGTTGAAAGTGGGAGACAATCTTATGGGAATGAGCCCTCAATCTGCTACATCTGCTGCTATCTCCAGGTAGATAGTTTTGAAACTAAATTGGAGGACACCCCACTGGTGTCTGCTGCAAAATAGCTTGCTTGCTGGTGGGGAGAAATCACCACATTTTGGGGTCACAAAAGTCTTCTATGTTAATTGTTGTGGTGTGAAAACAGAGCAAAAAACAATTGGAGTTTTTCCCACTGACACTAGATTTTATGGCTTGCTCCGGGGGGAAGGGCAGAGGGAAGGTGAGTGTGACCTTCCAGTTTCTGCTGTTTTCTCAAATGCCAAGATGCCGTACTTTGGAGTAGTGTGTCCTGAACCCCATCATCTTGTTATTAACATTTTACATTAGTTTGATAAATTTCTTAGAATTGATGAGCCAGTCCTGATATATTATTATTAACTGAAGTCCATAGTTTATACAGATTTTCTTAGGTTTTTCTCTAACGTCCTTTTTCTCTTCCAAGATCCTATCTAGGATACTACATTCCATTTAGTCATTGTATTATTGATATTTATTTATTTTTTATTGTTGAATAATTCCATTGTTTGGCTGTATGACAGTTTGTACATCTGTTTTGAAGGATATCTTAGTCTTGGTTGCTTCCAGTTTCTAGTAATTGTGAAAAAAGTTACTATAAACACTCATGTACAGGATTCTGTGTGGACATAAATTTTCAAGTCAGTTACTTAGGAGTGAGATTTCTGAGTTGTATGGTAAAATAGCTTAGCTTTGTAAGAAACTGCCAAACTGTCTTCCAAAGGGACCATATAATCTTGCATGCCCACTAGCAGCGAATGGGAGTTCCTATTTTGCCACATCCTCACCAGAATTTGGTGCTGTCAGTGTTCTGGATTTAGGTCATTCTAATAGGTGTGTGGTGTTATCTAATTGTTGTCTTAATTTGCATTTCCCTAATGACAAAGGATGTTGAGTATCTTTTTGTGTGCTTTTGTTTTTTTGGGGTTTTTTTGGTCATTTGTACGTATTTGGTGAGGTGTCTGTTCAAGTCTTATTTACATTTATTTATGTATTAGACTGGGTCTCACTCTGTTGCCCAGACTGGAGTGCAGTGGCACAATCTCAGCTCACTGCAACCTCTGCCTGCTGGGCTCAAGTGATCCTCCCACTTTAGCCTCCTGAGTAGCTGGGACCACAGGCACATGCCACCATGCCCAGCTAATTCTTTGTGTTTTTGGTAGAGATGGGGTTTCACCAGGTTGCCCAGGCTGGTCTCGAACTCCTGAACTCAGGCAATCCTCCCACCTCGGCCTCCCAAAATGTTGGGATTACAGGCATGAGCCACCATGCCCAAACTTTTTCTTTCATAATTCAGCTGATTTTGGTCGTGTTGAAGGTCAGTGTGCAGACATTATGAGCAATTTGTACACAATTCTTAATGAACATACCAAAAGTTTAAGAAGCCATGTAGTTTTAAATTCTTTTCTAAATGATTAATTTGGTGACTTTCCAAGAAATTAATCCAGAAAAAGTTAAATCTAGAAAATTTACAGTCAAAAAAGATGTTGAGTACCAATATCTTCAAAGGTTGATAAGCTCTTACATTGTCTCAGTAACTCACATACTGATGTCATACATCATATATACTCAAATTTTCAAGCTTTCAGAGCAAATTATTAATAACTAAGTTATTAGGAAAAGCAAAGCGGAATGCTACAACCAAAAGCACATATTCTGATAATGAGAACCAAGATCAGGGACCAGTTTTCTTTAAAACACAATTATCCTAAAAACAACATGGGAATAGAAGGAATTTAAAATGTTCAAGACAGATACACCATTCAGGATCAACAAGAGTTTTTGCAGCTTACCAGCAGCCTTGGGGACATCATAGCCTTCCATTGTTCCCCTCCGGTTCCTTCATGTTGTGGATCAGTTCCTCTCTTTCACTGTCCTATTGCTCCTGCTGCTCCCTATAAATACACTTTTCTTGTGTCTGTTTCACATTCAAACGCCTTGAGCGAGGATATGAGTGATTCAGTTAGTCCCGTCATCCAAGTTGCATCGAGTTGCCTGAGACTCTTGACCTTATAGATGAAAGGCCAGCCTATAAATTAGCTAGCTCTGGAAGAGGCACCCACCCATGGTCCAATTACCTGTGAGCAGGTGGTTGGGGTCGCATGTGTCAGGCATGGAGTCCAAAGGGAAGGGCCCTTACCTTTAAGGTGTGCTCCCCAACTCTCAGAGGGGGCACAGTGTTGTACAGGCTAGTTCAGGCTTTTCTTGGGCAAAGTTGGTCATAAGGTTCTCCCATTAGTGACCCTCCCTCCATCGTCATCCTCGCTAATAAATATCCCCCCAAGAATACTCTAACATTTAAATAGAGGAGCCCCTAAAGCACAAGGTCATTGAATCTAAATGAGTTTCTGGCTTGAAGGCCTATTTCTGCCTCAAATGCCATAGTCCCTCCTAGGATTCTTTACTCCAACTGAGCAAAGACCTTAACGCTATTGTCTTCTCACTTTTGTCATGTCAGAGCATGGGCATTGTAACTTGCAGGACGTGTCAGTAGGATAAAGATTAAAAGAGGACCAGGTACAGAGGCTCATGCCCATAATCTCAGCAATTTGAGAGACCAAAGCTGGAGGATGGCTTAAGGTCAAGAGTTCGAGATCAGCCTGGGTAACACAGTAAGAACCTGTCTCTACAGAAAAATTTAAAAATTATCTGGGTATGGTAGCATACACCTGTAATCCCAGATACTCAGAAGGCTGAGGGAGGAGGATCACTTGAGCCTGGGAGTTTGAGGCTGCAGTGAGTCCTGATCACACCAATGCACTCCAGCTTGGGCGACATAGCTAGATCCTGTCTCTAAAACAAAACAAAACAAAACAAAAAGTAAAGAGGAGGAGAGTGCATTTTGGGTCTATCCACTCCAGACATGGGATTTCTCCTATTGTACATGCTACATTCCATTTCTAAAACTCACTTAGCTATGAGAGATGATAGATAAATCAATAGATAGTGCTTTATGCCTAATGATAATCTCAACCAACATTTGTATATGTCTTATTTTTACATGCAGGGAGCCTTACAACATCTCATGTTATAGGCATCATTATGGCCACTATGTAGAGAAGTGGACTGAACTGACAAGGAGAAAAGTTAAGTAGTAATTTATCCAAGATGTCACAACTGGTAAGTGAACTCAAAATTTCAACCCCAAGAATTTGAACTCAGTCTTTCCACTACGCTATGAAAAGGCTCAGGAAAAGTGATGCTATCATTGCCTCCTAAAGACATCTCTAACAGTAATATTGTGTGTACATCTAAGAAATGACCACAGTGAGTGTGCAATGTGAGATGCAGTATGTGTGTGGGTATTTTTAGGATAAGACGGTGTGATATTATATCTTTGGCACCTCATTTAAGTAGACCGTGTTTCCTAAAAAGGAGATGTGGCTTTGTCACTTAAGCAAAGGCCTTTTTCCATGTGCCTCTAAGAATCCTTCAGAAATATTAGTTTTTTTTTTTTTTTTTTTTAATGAGACACTGTCTACAGGATAGTGAACATTTCCCCTTCTTTTTCCTCTATGTTTAGTGAGGAACATACCTTCATGGGGTCCAAAGCAAGATATTTAATTCAAATAAGAGAAAAAAATGTGATGTCAGCCAAGTTTGACCCTGGGATATTTCTCCCTTTTCTTTGTGTGCACTTTAAAATTTACTTCAATCCAGGACCAAAGTATTTCCCTGTTGTTGTGCCCAGATCTTTCTCATCTCTGTTTGATGGCTTTTTGCTTCATAGCAAAAATCACAGGGGCAATTGTAATTACAGTGCAGTCACATCTGCATTTCAAATGAGCGCAATCCATTTTGGTTCTCATAATTTTGAGGGCTGAATAAATAGTGCTCTTCCAGTTGTGAATGGCTGCAATATGGAGCCTCAGGAGAGAGGGAAACTGTAGGGTTCAACATGCTCTGAACTATTCTTGGCAGCTGCAGTGCTGCTTTGAGGGCTCATTATAAACCTGGATGTTATTCTCTTTGCAACATTTTGAAATGGTCCTGAAGAGTTCATCTTTAAGCTGGAGCAGTTTTATCTGGTTATCTTAACCTTTACACAACAGTAATCCACTCTTTCCTCAAGAGAATCTCTTAGAAAAACATATCCTTCACTTGTGACAGGCAACATACCAGAAACGCCAACATTTGTAATTTGCAAAAAAAATGGCAGTTTAGTGTTTTGGTTTTCGTGTAAGGCACCTGTCGTGGAGGGAGGTGAAGCATGAGTAGTGTTCCAAGGGCCATTGTAGAGTTGCTTGGGTTTAGTCATTGAGTCACAAAGACCTTCCATCAAAATCAAAGGCTAAATTCTTGTTTCTGTCAGTAAGGCAATTTAGGTGTCCTGAACAACCCTTCTGATTGAAATAACTGCATTGTTGAATAAACACTACATTTTTCCTTTAAAATGCATTGCTGCATGGAACCGAGGTAAGAAATCCACAGAGACACAAAACAAGGCATAACCAGGACCCTTGGGACTCAGACAAATGCAAAGTTAGCTTTCACCTTGAAGGTTTCTGCTGAAAACTGGAATACTTGAGCTTCTGCTTTGAGGACAACATAGGCATGGAAGGCAGGATTAAAATCCTAGGGCCCACCCCAGTGAAGAACCTGATGCAAAATACCTGCATAACCCTGAGACCCCAAAGAGCTATAATTTAAGTATTAGGGTGAACTAAAAATAAACCCTAGTGGGCAGAAAGTAAAGCCAGGAAACTTACCTAGCTAGACTTGGTGCTAAACAATAACAACAACAAAAAAATTACTCTGAGAATACATAATTAAGATATTACAAGAGTTTTTGGTCCAAATTCACATAACCTCTGCAACCACCAAAAATCACAAATAGATAAATATATTCAAAGTGGTTCTAGGTTGGTAACACCTCTAGGATGCTGTGAAAAGCAGACGTGAATTCTCTTTGCTAGACTTCAATGTCAAGCCAGCTTCTAAGAATCTGAGGAAATCCAGCCACTGGATCCAAGGAAATTAGCCACTCACAGCACCAACACCAAAACCTGTAAGGAAATAAGGTACTGTGTGTGAGAATCAGCAGCTCCAGAGAGCTGAAACAAGTCCTCAGAAAGAACTTGAAAATATGAGCTAGAAAATAGATTTCACATAATGACCATGAAGATATTTAAAAACCAAATAGAACTGCTAAGATTTAAAAAGCAATAAAGAAAAATGAAAACTCAGTGGATGGATTAACCAGCAGATTAGATAAGGCTAGAGAGAAATTTAATGAACTTGAAGATAGGCCAAAAATATTTTTCAGAATGCAGTTTAGAAAGATAAAGGAAAACAAAACATGAAAGATGGAATAGAAAACAGAGGCTAAAATGATAAGCTATAGCACAGTACTTTCTTAACAAAAAGTACCAGCAGGAGACAGGGAGAATGGGTCATATTTTAAAAGATTCTAAGAATTTTTTTAGAATTGTGGAAGGACACCGGTTTTCAGGTCCAAGGAACTAAACGAGTTCCAAAATGAGCATATGAAAGGCTTGTTATGTAAGAAAGAAAGATAAGCAAAGAAATTGGTGAATATGTACACCTATAATACAAAGCAATATTAATAATATCTAATTTATAGGTCAAAAATAGTCTATTATTAAAATTCCGGATAACATAGAATGTAATTTGAAGGGATGTTAATTATTATTAAAGTTTTCTAAGGTTCTGCTGTTCAAGAGGAGGTTAAAGATGCTGCTTTAGTCTTTATAAGCTAAAAGTATATATTGGAAGATCTAGTACAGCTATGATGAGGCTAGAAACTGCTCTAAAAAGAATAGAAATAGCAAATGCCTCTTTATTGCAGTAGTATGAATAATAGCAAAAGGCCAAAAACAGCCCATATGTTCAGTAGTAAGTAGATGACTAGTTGAATACCCTATGAAACATCCACACAACAGAGTTCCTTTACAAGAATGAAAATATGATTTCCAAACAAAGTAGAAAGAAGAAATGGAATTGCCAGTATGTGGAGGAGAAGACCCTCAGTCAGTCCAAAAGACATCAAGAAAAGGCCAAAGAAAACACAAATAGAAAAAAGTGGATGAACAGAAGCATATGATAAAATTATAGTAAAGAATCCAAATCTGGTACATTGGCAACTATATTAATGTAAATGGACTAAATTCTATAGTTGGAAGCAGGTATTAGATTGGGTTAAAAGCATTCTATGCATATACCTATTACAAGAGGTATACCTAAAACATAAAGATCTCAAGTTATTGAAAGCCAATGAGTGGAGATACATATGCAAGGTGAATATTATCCCCCTAAAGCTGACAAATAGACATTAAAGAAAATAAGTTTTGCTAGAGATTTTACTAGAGATAATGATAAAAGGTACAATCCATAAAAATGAACTTGTAGGACCTTAACGTTTAACTTCAAAATACATAAAGCAAAAATTGATGTATCTGGAAGAAAAAAATATGAAAATTTGTCTCAAAAATGGGATATTTAAAAATCTCTTTGTAGATTATTGTAATTGATAAATCAAGTAAATCAGATGTTAATAAGTACATAGAATATTTGAACAGCACATTTCACAAGATTTAACAACCTTGTTGATAGAGAGAGAGAAACATTATACCTCAAAACTAGAGAAAACATCCTTTTAAAAGACATACAGGGAGGTGGCTGACAAGATAGCAGAATAGGAACAGCTCCGGTCTACAGCTCCCAGCGAGATAAATGCAGAAGGAGGGTGATTTCTGCATTTCCAACTGAGGTACCAGGCTCATCTCACTGGGACTGGTTACACGGTGGGTGCACCCTGAAGCAGGGTGGGGCGTCGCCTCACCCAGGAAGAGAAGGGGTCGGGGAACTCGCTCCCCTAGCCGAGGGAAGCCGTGAGGGATTGTGCACGTGAGGAACTGTGCATTCCCGCCCAGATACTATGCTTTTCTCACCGTCTTCGCAACCCGCAGACCAGGAGATTCCCTCGGGTTCCTACACCACGAGGGCCCTGGGTTTCAAGCACAAAACTGGGCAGCCACTGAGCTAGCTACAGGAGTTTTTTTTAATACCCCAGTGGTGCCTGGAATGCCAGTGAGACCTAACTGCTCACTCCCTTGGAAAGGGGGCTGAAGCCAGGGAGCCAAGTGGTCTAGCTTAGCGGATCCCACCCCCACAGAGCCCAACAAGCTAAGATCCACTGGCTTGAAATTCTCGCTGCCAGCACTACAGTCTGAAGTCGACCTGGGATGCTTGAGCTTGATGGGGGGAGGGGCGTCTGTCATTACTGAGGCTTGATTAGGCGGTTTTCCCCTGACTGTGTAAACGCAGCTGCCAGGAAGTTCAAACTGGACAGAGCCCACCTCAGCTCGGCAAAGTCGCTGTAGCCAGACTGCCTTTCCAGATTCCTCCTCTCTGGGCAGGGCATCTCTGAAAGAAAGCCAGCAGCCCCAGTTAGGGGCTTACAGATAACTCCCAGCTCCCTGGGACAGAGCACCTGGGGGAAGGGGCATCTGTGGGCAGAGCTTCAGCAGACTTAAACGTTCCTGCCTGCTGACTCTGAAGAGAGCAGTGGATCTCCCAGCACAGCGCTCAAGCTCTGCTAAGGGACAGACTGCCTCCTCAAGTGGGTCCCTGACCCCAGTGCCTCTTGACTAGGAGATATCTCCCAGCAGGGGTCGACAAACACCTCATACAGGAGAGCTCCAGCTGGCATCTGATGGGTGCGCCTCTGGGATGAAGCTTCCAGAGGAGGGAACAGGCAGCAATCTTTGCTGTTCTGCAGCCTCCACTGGTGATACCCAGGCAAACAAGGTCTGGAGTGGACCTCCAGCAAACTCCAGCAGACCTGCAGCAGAGGGGCCTGACTTTTAGAAGGAAAACTAACAAACAGAAAGGAATAGCATCAACATCAACAAAAAGGACGTCCACACAGAAACCCCATCCAAAGGTCACCAACATCAAAGACCAAAGGTAGATAAATCCCCAAAGATGAGGAAAAACCAGTGCAAAAATGTTGAAAATTCCAAAAACCAGAACGCCTCTTCTCCTCCAGAGGATCACAGCTCCTTGCCAGCAAGGGAACAAAACTGGACGAAGAATGAATTTGACAAACTGACAGAAGTAGGCTTCAGAAGGTGGGTAATAACAAACTCCTCTGAGCTAGAAGAGCATGTTCTAACCCAACACAAGGAAGCTAAGAACCTTGAAAAAGATTAGAGGAATTGCTAACTAGAATAACCAGTTTAGAGAAGAACATAAATGACCTGATGGAGCTGAAAAACACAACATGAGAACTTCGTGAAGCACACACAAGTATCAATAGCTGAATCAATCAAGCAGAAAGATATCAGAGACTGAAGACCAACTTAATGAAATGAAGTGAGAAGACAAGATTAGAGAAAAAAGAGTAAAAAGAAATTAACAAAGCCACCAAGAAATATGGGACTAAGCGAAAAGACCAAATCTACATTTGATTGGTGTACCAGAAAGTGACAGGGAGAATGGAACCAAGTTGGAAAACACTCTTCAGGATATTATCCAGGGGAACTTCCCCAACCTAGCAAGACAGGCCAACATTCAAATTCAGGAAGTACAGAGAACACCACAGATACTCCTCGAGAAGAGGAACCCCAAGACATATAATCGTCAGACTCACCAAGGTTGAAATGAAGGAAAAAATGTTAAGGGCAGCCAGAGAGAAAGGTCGGGTTACCCACAAACGGAAACCCATCAGACTAAGAGCAGATCTCTCTGCAGAAATCCTACAAGTCAGAAGAGACTGAGGGCCAATATTAAACATTCTTAAAGAAAAGAATTTTCAACCCAGAATTTCATATCCAGCCAAACTAAGCTTCATAAGTGAAAGAGAAATAAAACCCTTTACAGAGAAGAAAATGCTGAGAGCTTTTGTCACCACCAGGCCTGCCTTACAAGAACTCCTGAAGGAAGCACTAAATATGGAAAGGAAAAACTGGTACCAGCCACTGGAAAAACATACCAAATTATACAGACCATCAACACTATGAAGAAACTGCTTCAACTAACGGGCAAAAAAATCAGCTAGCATCATAATGACAGGATCAAATTCACACATAACAATATTAACCATAAATGTAAATGGGCTAAATGCTCCCAATTAAAAGACACATACTGGCAAATTGGATAAAGAATCAAGACCCATCAATGTGCTGTGTTTAGGAGACCCATCTCACATGCAAAGACACACTAGGCTCAAAATAAAGAGATGGAGGAATATTTACCAAGCAAATAGAAATAAAAAAAGCAGGGGTTGCAATCCTAGTCTCTGATAAAACAGCTTTAAACCAACAAAGATCAAAAAGATAAATAAGGACATTATGTCATGGTAAAGGGATCAATGCAACAAGAAAAGCTAACTATCTTCAATATACATGCACCAAATACAGGAGCACCCAGATTCATAAAGCAAGTTCTTAGAGACCTATGAAGAGATTTAAACTCCCACACAATAATTGTGGGAGACTTTAACACCCCACTGTCAATATTAGACAGATCAGCAAGGCAGAAAATTAGCAAAGATATTCAGGATTTGAACTCAGCTCTGGACCAAGCAGACCTAATAGACATCTACAGAACTCTCCACCCCAAATCAATAGAATATACATTCTTCTCAGCATCACATCACACTTACTCTAAAATTGACCACATAATACAAAGTAAAATACTCGTCAGCAAATGCAAAAGAATGGAAATCATAACAGTCTCTCAGACCACAGTGCAATGAAATTAGAACTCGGGATTAAGAAACTCACTCAAAACCACACAACTACATAGAAACTGCACATCCTGCTCCTGAATGACTACAGGGTAAATAATGAAATTAAGGAAGAAATAAATAAGTTCTGTGAAACCAAAGAGAACAAAGACATAACACACCAGAATCTCTGGGACACAGTTAAAGCAGTGTTTAGAAGGAAATTTATAGCACTAAATGCTCACAGGAGAAAGCAGGAAAGATCTAAAATTGACACCCTAACATCACAATTAAAAGAACTAGAGAAGCAAGAGCAAACAAATTCAAAAGCTAGCAGAAGACAAGAAATAAATAAAATCAGAGCAAAACTGAAGGAGATAGAGACAAAAAAAAACCTTCAAAAAATCAATGAATCCAGGAGGTGGTTTTTTGAAAAGATTAACAAAATAGACTGCTAGCCAGACTCATAAAGAAGAACAGAGAGAAAAATCAAATAGACACAATAAAAAATGGTAAAGGGGATATCACCACCAATCCCACAGAAATACAAACTACCATCAGAGAATACTATAAACACCTCTATCCAAATAAACTAGAAAATTTAGAAATGGATAAATTCCTGGACACATACACCCTCCCAAGACTAAACCAGGAAGAAATCAAATCTCTGAATAGACCAATAACAAGTTCTGAAATTGAGGCAATAAGTAATAGCCTACCAACCAAAAAATGTCCAGGACCAGACAGATTCACAGCCAAATTCTACCAGAGGTACAAAGAGGAGCTGGTACCATTCCTTCTGAAACTATTTCAAACAATAGAAAAAGAGGGACTCCTCTCTAACTCATTTTATAAAGCCAGCATCATCCTGATATCAAAACCTGGAAGAGACACAACAAAAAAAGAAAATTTCAGGCCAATATCCCTGATGAACAGCAATGCAAAAATCCTCAATAAAATACTGACAAACCAAATCCAGCAACACATCAAAAAACTTATCTACCACGATCAAGTCAGCTTCATCCCTGAGATGCAAGGCTGGTTCAACACGCACAAATCAATAAACCTAATCTATCACATAAACAGAACCAATGACAAAAACCACATGATTATCTCAACAAATGCAGAAAAGGCCTTCGATACAATTCAACACACCTTCATGCTAAAAACTCTCAATAAACTAGGTATTAACGGAACGTATCTCAAAATAATAAGAGCTATTTATGACAAACCCACAGTCAATATCATACTGAATGGGCAAAAGCTGGAAGCGTTCCCTTTGAAAATCGGCACAAGACAAGGATGCCCTCTCTTGCCACTCCTATTCAACACAGTATTGGTAGTCCTGGCCAGGGCAATCAGGCAGGAGAAAAAAATATAGGGTATTCAAATAGGAAGAGAGAAAGTCAAATTGTGTCTGTTTGCAGATGACATGATTGTATATTTAGAAAACCCCATTGTCTCAGCCCAAAATCTCCTTAAGCTGATAAGCAACTTCAGCAAAGTCTCAGGATACAAAATCAATGTGCATAAATCACAACTATTGCAATACACCAATAATAGATGAACAGAGAGCCAAATCATGAGTGAACTCCCATTCACAAGTGCTACAAAGAGAATAAAATACCTGGGAATACAACTTACAGGGGATTGAAAGACCTCTTCAAGGAGAACTACAAACCACTGCTCAAGGAAATAAGAGAAGACACAAACAAATGGAAAAACATTACATGCTCATGGATAGGAAGAATCAATATTTGGAAAATGGCCACACTGCCCAAAGTAATTTATAGATTCAATGCTATCCCCATCAAGCTACCACTGACTTTCTTCACAGAATTAGAAAAAACTACTTTAAATTTCATATGTAACCAAGAAAGAGCCCATATAGCCAAGATAATCCTAAGCAAAAAGAACAAAGCTGGAGGCATCATGCTACCTGACTTCAAACTATACTACAAGGCTACAGTAACCAAAACAGCATGGTACTGGTACCAAAACAGATATATAGACTAATGGAACACAACAGAGGCCTCAGAAATAATGCCACACATCTGTCAAAGATCAACCATCTGATCTTTGACAAACCTGACAAAAACTAGCAACAGGGAAAGGATTCCCTATTTAGTAAATGGTGTTGAGAAAACTGGCTATCCATATGCAGAAAACTGAAACTGGATCCTCTTCCTTACACCTTATACAAAAACTAACTCAAGGTGGATTAAAGACTTAAATGTAAGACCTAAAACCATAAAAACTCTAGAAGAAAACCTAGGCAATACCCTTCAGGACACAGGCATGGGCAAAGACTTCATGACTAAAACACTAAAAGCAATGGCAACAAAAGCCAAAATTGACAAATGGAATCTATTTAAACTAAAGAGCTTCTTCACAGCAAAAGAAAATATCATCAGAGTGAACAGGCAACCTACAGAATAGGAGACAATTTTTGCAATCTATCCATCTGACAGAGGGCTAATATTCAGAATCTACAAGGAACCTAAACAAATTTACAAGAAAAAAATCAAACAACCCCATCAAAAAGTGGGTGAAGGACATGAACTGACACTTCTCCAAAGAAGACATTTATGTGACCAACAAACATCTTTTAAAAAGCTCATCATCACTGTTCATTAGAGAAATGCAAATCAAAACCACAATGAGATACCATCTGATGCCAGTTAGAATGGCGATCATTAAAATGTCTGGAAACAACAGATGTGGGGGAGGATGGGAAGAAATAGGAATGCTTTTACACTGTTGGTGGGAGTGTAAATTAGCTCAACCATTGTGGAAGACAGTGTGGTGATTCCTCAAGGATCTAGAACCAGAAATACCATTTGACCCAGCCATCCCATTACTGGGTATATACCCAAAGGATTATAAATCATTGTACTATAAAGACACATGCAAAGGTATGTTTATTGCAGCACTATTCACAATAGCAAAGACTTGGAACCAACCCAGATGTCCATCAGTGATAGACTGGATACAGAAAATGTGGCACATATACACCACGGAATAGTATGCAGCCATAAAAAAGGATGAGTTCATGTCCTTTGCAGGGACATGGTTGAAGCTGGAAGCCATCATTCTCAGCAAACTAACACAGGAACAGAAAACCAAATGCCACATGTTGTCTCTCATAAGTGGGAGTTGGACAATGAGAACACATGGACACAGGGAGGGAAACATCACACACCAGGGCCTGTTGGAGGATGAGGGGCTAGAGGAGGGATAGCATTAGGAGAAATACCTAATATAGATGACAGGTTGATGGGTGCAGCAAACAACCATGACACATGTATACCTATGTAACAAACCTGCATGTTCTGCACGTGTCCTAGAACTTAAAGTATAATAAAAAAGTTAAAAAGAAGTAAAATGAACATTTTAAGAAGTCGCAAAATAGACATACAGAATTCCTGTGAAAATTCACCTTCTCCTAGGTTATAACGCTATTCCCATCAACTTTTGAGATTGCATTTTACGGGAACACTTTCTTTGAGCACATGCAATTATATTAGAGAATATTAACAACAATAAGAAGCACCCAGAGAAAACTATACATTTAGACATTAAAAACAGGCTTCTTTAAAAAAAGAAATTGTGTATATTTATGGTATACAACATGATATTTTGGTGTCCAAAATAGACTTCTGAGCCACTCCCTTGTCCAATTAAAAAAAAAGAAATGATAAAATATTGACATAAATAATGATAAAAATAATACATATCAAACTTGTGAGACAGCAAAAACAGTACTCTATTAACTTAAGTATTAACTAGAAAAAAGAATGTCTAAAATAAGGAGACAAGCATACAACTTAACTTTAAGAAAAAGAGCACAGCAGAATACATCCATAGAAAGTAGAAAAAAAGTTATCATAGCACTATTCACAATAGCAAAGATATGGAATTGACTTCAGTGTCCATCAATGGGTGATTAGATTAAAAAAATGTGATATATATACACAATGGAATACTATTTAGCCATAAAAAAGATGAGGTCATGTCTTTTGCAGCATCATGGATGGAATGGGAGGCCATTACTTTTTAAGTGAAACAAGTTGAATACAAAGACAAATATCACATGTTCACATTTAGAAGTGGGAGCTACATAATGTGTATACATAGATGTGAGTGTGGAATGACAGACAGTAGAGACTCAGAAGGGGCGGGGTGGATAATGAGATATGACTCAATAGGTACAATGCACATTTTTTGAGTGATGGATACCATAAAAGCCCTGACTTCATCATTATGCAATAAATCCATGTGACAAAATTATATTTGCACCCCAAAAATTTACACAAAATTTTTAAAAGAAAGTAGAAGGAAAGAATGATAAAGCAGACAGTAATGATAAAGAAAACAAATGTGCCTTAGAAAGGAACCATAAAACCAAAAGTTAGTTGTTTGAAACAGTTTAATCAGTAGAAAATCTCTGTTGATATTTACTAAGGGAAGGAAGGAAGGAGAGAAGGAAGGAAGGGAGAGAGAAGGAAAGAAAGAAAGGAAGAAAGAAAGAGAGAGAGAGAAAGGGAGAAAGAGAGAAAGAGAAAGGAAGAAAGAAAGAGAAAGAAAGAAAGGAAGGAAAGAAAGAAGGAAGGAAGGAAGAAAAGAAAGAAAGAAAGGAGGGAGGGAGAAAAGGAAAGGAAGGCTCTAGTGAAGTAAGTTAGAAAAAAAAGGACAACACAACTACAGACACTGCTGAGACAATATAATAAGAGAATATTCTTTTTTTTTTTTTTTTTTTTTTTTTTTTTTTTTTTTTTGAGACAGAGTCTTGCTCTGTCTCCAGGCTGGAGTACTATGGCGCGATCTCGGCTCACTGCAAGCTCCGCCTCCTGGGTTCACACCATTCTCCTGCCTCAGCCTCCCGAGTAGCTGGGACTACAGGTGCCCGCCACCGCGCCCAGCTAATTTTTTGTATTTTTAGTAGAGACGGGGGTTTCACCATGTTAGCCAGGATGGTCTCGATCTCCTGACCTCGTGATCCGCCCGCCTCGGCCTCCCAAAGCGCTGGGATTACAGGCGTGAGCCACCGCGCCTGGCCGCAAATATTTTTTAAATACAGTTTATCAAGAAGAAATAGAAAATATGAAGAGTCTTAAAATGATTGAGGAGATTGAATCAGTTGTTGAAAAGTCTTCCTCAAAGAAAACACTAGTCCCAGTTGGCTTCACCAGCAGTTTCACCAAACATACAGAAAAAAAAGAATTTCAATCTTACTACAACTCTGCCAAATCATTAAAAAAGGGAAAAAAATCTCCATTCACTTTGCGAGGTGGGCCTGACTTTGATACCAAAAATCCAATAAAGAACAATATGAGAAAGTAAAATTGTAGGTCAATCTCACCTGTGAGCATAGATGCAAAAATCCTCAACAAAACAAATGAAATTTAGCAATATATAAAAAGATGAATACATCATGACCGTCATGACCAATTAATGGTTAATTCTCAGAATAAAAGGTTAGTTTAATATTAGAAAAGTGATTTATGAAATTCACAGTAACAGATCAAAAGTTTAAAAATCATATTAACAGATACAGAAAAGCACTTGAGGAAGTTCCATGTCTAATCATGATAAAATCTCTTAGCACACTATAAAGAGAAGGGAACTGTCACAACCTAATAAATAACAAACGTCATATCTAATGGCAAAATGTTGAAAACATTCCCTTTAAGATTAGGAGCAAGACAAAAGTAGTTAGCTTTCCGTTCAACATTTTACTGTGAAATATGTCTTCATATCCTTCTAAAAGCAAGGTGGAAAAACTTATGTATATTATGCTATCATTGTGTGGATATGACTATATAGATATGACATGCTTATATATGAATGAATGCTTACATTCAAATAAAACAAGAAAGGTAAATTTAAATGGCCCACTTCCATTCAATATTTTACTGGATTGCTAGAACAAGCAATAAGGCAAGCAAAAGGAAAGATATAAATACGTAAAAGGGGAAACAAAACTGTCATTTTTGCTATAATACAATTGTATAAGTAGGAAATGTAAAAGAAACCACAGATAAATTATTTTAACTAATAAGAGAGTTAAGGGATTGCTGAATAAAATTAGTATACAAAATTTCCCAATGGTGAGGGACATTTTAATTTTGCATGTGCAAAATTACACATGCATTTACCCTTTCAACCAGAAATCCTGTTTTTATCAGAATCTATATGTCAATGATAACCTAGCAAAATGAAAAGAAGTATGCACAAGACTATTCATTACAGCATTATTTGCAAAAGAATGGAAATAACACAATTGTCCATCAGCAGGAAGCTGGTTGAATAAACTGGTTGCATATGGCATATCCGCATCATTGAGTACTTGCCATTAAAAAAGAAATGAGGGGCCTGGTGCGGTGGCTCATGCCTGTAATACCCAGCACTTTGGGAGGCCAAGGCAGGTGGATCATGAGGTGAGGATCCCGTCTCTACTAAAAATACAAAAAATTAGTCGGGCGTGGTAGCATGCACCTGTAATCCTAGCTACTCGGGAAGCTGGGGCAGGAGAATTGCTTGAACCCAGGAGGTGGAGGTTGCAGTGAGCCAAGATCGCACCACTGCACTCCAGCCTGGGCGACAGAGCGAGACTTCATCTCAAACACACACACACACACACACACACACAACACACACACACACACACAAAGGAATGAGGGCTGGGTGTGGTGGTGCACATCTGTAATCTCAGCACTCTGGGAGGCCCAGGTGGGAGAATCACTTGAGGTCAGGAGTTTGATACCAGTCTGGCCAACATGGTGAAACCCCGTCTCTACTAAAAATACAAAAAAATTAGCCAGGCGCGGTGGCACATGCCTGTAATCTTAGCTACCCAAGAGGCTGAGGTGGGAGGATTGCTTGAGCCCTGGAGGCCGAGGTTGCAGTGAGCCAAGACTGCGCCACTGCACTCTAGCCTGGGTGGCAGAGCGAGACTCCATCTCAAAAAAAAAAAAAAAAAAATGAGATATGCGTTTATACCCTGCTATGAAATGTGTCTTCATACCCTTCTAAAAACAAGGTGGAAAAAAGTGTGTATATTATGCTACCATTGTGTGGATATGACTACATAGATATGTTAGCTTACATTCAAGTAAAACAAGAAAGATAAATTTAGAAACTAAAATAGAGGGGTTAACTCTAAGGAAAGGAACAGGAGGAAAAGAAAAATGAAAACTAGACCTCTCTGAATACAAGTTGTTTTGTAGATTTGATTTTGAAAATGTGGAAACGTTTTACATAATTATGAAACAAAATTAAATAATTCCTAGAAATCAAAAGCAAAATAAAACAAATTTAACTGTATATTGAGTTGTTGGTATAACCAGATAGAAAAAAAATTATCCTTAGAAAAAATTATGCTAATTGACTTTAAAACGTAATTTGATGGTGCATTTCTAAAGAAATGTTTCCTAAGAACAGGCCGGGCGCGGTGGCTCAAGCCTGTAATCCCAGCACTTTGGGAGGCTGTGGCGGGCGGATCACGAGGGCAGGAGATGGAGACCATCCTGGCTAACATGGTGAAACCCCGTCTCTACTAAAAATACAAAACATTAGCCAGGCGTGGTGGCAGGCCCCTGTAGTCCCAGCCACTCGGGAGGCTGAGGCAGGAGAATGGCATGAACCCGGGAGGCGGAGCTTGCAGTGAGCCGAGATCGCGCCACTGCACTCCAGCCTGGGCGACAGAGCAAGATTCCGTCTCAAAAGAAACAAATAAATAAAAAATAACTCTAAAATATGTAGTCACATGGCTAATAAAAATATTGCTATTGGCACTCCAAAACAAATATAGATAATTGAGAGAGAGAGAGAGCGAGCAAATAAGCAACTATGTAGATGTGGTTGGGAACTAAGATTTCACTGTCAAATGTAAAATCAAAGTTAATTAACTCGCAACATACTTAATATTTAATCTTTTACAGTCTTAGATTTGTCCATTGAAAAGGTCTTGAGCCAATGACCACCCATGAGCAATCAGTGCTGCAAACACCAGAATGAGGTCTTTAAATATCATTTTGGACCAGCAAGAACCAGAGCTCCTTGGTGATGGGTAATTCTAGTTCTGGGCCAGGAAATTTACAAGTTGGCAGCCAACAGCAAGAAAGCTGTCAAAGACAGCTGGGTTTGCATAAAAGGGACTCAGGAGCGAACTGCACAAACCCCCAGGGGCCAAACAAAGGAACAATTTGAGCATTACCAAATATAATAACAACTAGGGATTTAAACACAGCACATATATTAAATTCATGAGCTATTAGTGATTAAAAAAACACACACAAATGAACATAGGAAAACCCCTTCCTTGGTCACCTTTAAGGATACTAGGAACTCATTAATTTGAAAGGTGATGAATAACCTCTTCCTCAAAACAACCAAATAGTTGATGTGAAAAAGTTTCCCTTTATTACTATTTATACGTGAAGGAATAAAAAATTAGAATATCTTATTTTTGGAGACCCTAATGAGCATCAGTGGTTGCTAACATCACAAAAAGACACAACCAGATATTACGTGCCTTGTGATGGAAGTATTCTGTGACTACCTGTCAAGTTATTCCTCCCACCCCATCAACAAAATGGCAAACTTAAATCTGAACAGGCCTTAAGAGCTAGCTATCAATTGACAGGAAAAACAGAGACAGAAGAACATATTAACCAATACCACAGAGATGCAATTAGCTAAATCCAAACCAAGGTACATCATAAAGGCCAAATGGCCCAGTTTCTTCAACAAATAAAACTGCAAGAAAAAAAAAAAGTGGAGTCTGGGGAGAGGGGACAGCAGCCCCACAATTTCATCAGCACCCCAAACTTCTTCTATCTTTCTGTTCCTCCATCGTCCTTACAGTGAGACTCCCACCATTATGGTCAAGAGCCAGCTGCTACATCTCCAGATACTGTATCCGTGTGTATTCCACGTCTAGGAAGGAAGAAGGAAAGCACCCAATTCTTGGGAAGCTTTGTCTGTTTTGAAGCTCTTTTCAGGGACTTCTAATCCTGACTCGAGTGGTATTAGGTTTCCTGTCTCCAGCTACAAGTGAGTCAATGGAGATGAATGTTTTTTTTAACTTGGCACATTGTCTCTTGAAAAACATTAGTGTTCGATTATTTAAGGAGAAGGGGAGAATGGATATTGAGCAGCAGGCTTCCATGGTCTCTGGCAGGGATAAATTTGTATTGTCCTAGTGCCACTGCTTCAGCGGATGAGATAGAGACATGGCTGGAGTCCAGATCACAGCTTACAGCTTGGAACAGAGGGACATTTCTGACTTTGAAGGAAATCTGAGATTGCTTTCGCATTAGTACACTATTTGAACCAAAGGAGCTAACCAGCTATAGTCTTCGTGTAATAATGTCCACAGTCACAAACTGTATTCCTCTCTCCCCTAAATTCTGACATCTTTACCTTAATGCCATTAAACATAAAGAATTGCCATCAACTCTACAAGTTTAATTTGCTGCTTTCTAGACATCGATACCCATTGTAACTCTATTTGGAGGTGTTCTTCCCTTTTTAGATATGTCATATAAAAGAATGACATCCTTTTTCTTTCAATTTAAATGTTTCTCCTACTTCAACAGAGTACTGAGAATGAAATAAAATCATATTATTAACACCATCAAGTCTTAGAATTTATAGTTATTACTAGTCTTCTATCTACAACAGAGAATTAAGCTGAAGTCTAGAAATTCATGTCTTTGTATCTCTCCCTATCTTCCTTCTATCAGAGGAGAAAAGAGGATTTTTAAAAAATTAATATACTTTATTTTTTAAAGCATGTGATGGGTTGAATTGTGTCCCCTCCCCCAAAGATATGTGGAAGGTCCTGGTACCTATGAATGTGACCCCATTTGAAAATGGAGTCTTTGTACATGATCAAGTTAAGATAAGGGCATTAGGGTAAGCCCTAATACAGTAATGACTGGCGTTCTTTAAAAAGGGCAAATTTGGACACAGACACAGACATGCGCAGAAGGAAGGCAACGGGAAGATAATTCTGTGATGACAGAGCCTAAGAGGGATGATGTAGCTGTCAGCCAAGGAATGTCAAGGACGGCCAGCCACCTCCGCAAGCTGGGAAGAGGCAAGAAAGGACTCTACCCAGAGTCCCTGAGGGACCCAGGCCCTGCCAACACCTTGATTTTGGACTGCTAGCCTCCAGAACTGGGAGGCAGTAAATTTCTGTTTGAAGCAACCCAGGTACATGGCTGCAGCAGCCCTAGCAAACTATTACAGAGCAGTTTTAGGTTAGCAGAAAAATTGAGCACAAAGTGAAGCATTCCTGTATAATGCCTTGTGCACTCTGAAACAGACTTTCCCCTATTATTTACATCTTGCATTAGTATGGTACACTTGTTACAATTGGTGAGCCAACATGGATACGTCACTATTAACTAAGGCTCAAAGTTTACAATAGGTTAGGCTCCTTGTGTTGCATATTTTGTTGTTCTTGTGTGGACATGTTTTCAACTCATTTAGGTAAATACCAAGGAGCATGATCCCTGGATTATATAGCAAGAGTATGTTTACTTTGTAAGAAACCAATAAACTGTTTTTTCAAAGTGGTTGTATTGTTTTGCATTTCCACCAGCAATGAATGAGCATTCCTGTTGCACCACATCCTTGCCAGCATTTGATGCTGTCGGTGTTTTGGATTTTAGCCATTCTAATAGGTGTGTAATTCTGAGAACAAAAACTGTTTCTCTATACTCACACAACATTCACTTCTGACCCCAGAGGTGGGTTTTTTTCCACACAAAAATTCAATTAAATCTTGACACTATCTACCTGAAGTTAATATCACACCCACAAGTTAAGGGCTCAGTCCCACAAGGCTGCCCCCACTTCAGAAGCCAATTGCAAGTCCCCAAACACTTGGCCTTCTGACTGACTAGCTATAAATTCATGGGGTTCCCACAATCCTCTCCTCAGGTTCATTAACCTGCTAGAATGGCTTATTTGGTCATTCTAATTTAGAGAAACACTTGGCTTATGTTTACTGGCTTATCATAAAGGATACAACACAGAAATAGCCATAGGGCAAGTTATGGGGGATGGAGGGGAAGGTGTAAAGAGCTTCCATGCCCTCTCCAGGCATGGAAGCCTCCCAAGCACCTTGATATATGCATCAACCTGGCAGTTGATCAAATCTCATGCTCAAAAGTTTGTATAGAGCCTAATCTCCAGTCCCTCCCCTACTCCCCTTGCAACTTCCCAGAAGTCAGCGTAAGGGGTTGACAGTTCTAACCTTCTAATCACTTGGTCTTTCTGGTGACCAGCCCCATCCTGAGGCTATCTAGGGGCTCTACCCTTAGGTACCTCATTATAAACCCAGGCATGATCAAAAGGGACTTTTTATAAATAACAAATGACATTCTTATCACTCAAGAATTTCGAGGGTTTTAGAAGCTCTGTGCCAGAAACTGGGGACAAAGACCAAATTTATTTCTTATTGTACCACAATAGTAGTATCTCATGGTTGCTCTAATTTAAAATCTCCAGTGACATATGATGTTGATAATCTTTGATGTGCATGTTTGCCATCAATATATCTTCTCTGATGAAGCGTCTCTGCAGATCTTTCACTTATTTTTAAAATTGAGTTTATTGTTTTCTTATAGTAGAGTTTGTATATTCTGGATATTATTTGTTTTAGATATAAGTGAGGGTTTTTTGTTGTTTGTTTGTTTTTTCAGACAGAATCTCACCCTGTCACCCAGGCTGTAGTGCAATGGTGCAATCTCAGCTCACTGCAACCTCCACCTCCCTGGTTCAAGTGATTCTTACACCTGAGTCTCCCAAATAGCTATGATTACAGGCATGTACCATGATACCTGGCTAATTTTTGTATTTTTTAGTAGAGACGGGGTTTCGCCATGTTTGCCAGGCTGGCCTTGACCTCCTGGCCTCAAGTGATCTGTCTTCCTCAGCCTCCCAAAATGCTGGGATTACAGGAGCGAGCCACAGATGTGTTTGAAATTTTTTTTAAGTCTGTAGCCTGTCTTTCATTTGCTTGATAGTGTCTTTTGCAGCACAAGAGTTTTTAATTTAATGAAGCACAACTTATCATTTTTTTCTTTTATTGATTGTGCTTTTTGTTCTAAAAAGCCATTGCTAAACGCAAAACCAACTACATTTTCTCCTATGTTATCTTCTAGAAGCTTTATAATTTTGTGCTTTACATTTGGATCTATGATCCATTTTTAGTTAATTTTTATGAAGCGTGTAAGGCCTATGTCTAGATTCATTGATTTGCAAGTAGAGGTCCAGTCGTTCCAGCACCATTAGATGAAAAGACTAGCCTTTCTCCACTGCACTGCCTTTGCTCCTTTGTCAAAATTTGTTGACTATATGTGTGTGGGTCTATTTCTGAGCTCTGTAGTCTGTTCCACTGCTAAATCTGTTTCATTGATCTGTTTGTCTATTCTTTTGCCAATACCACACTGTCTTGATTGCTGTAGCTTTATAGTAAGTCTGGAAGCCAGGGAGTATCTATCCTCTGACTTTGTTCTTCTTCCTCAATATCGTGTTAGCTGACATGGATCTTTTGCCTTTCCATATAAACTTCAGAATCAGTTTGTTGTCTACATCCACCAACTAAATTGCTGAGATTTTGATTGGGATTACATTGAATCTATAGATCAAGTTAGGAAGAACTGACATCTTGACAATATTGAGTCTTCCTACACATGTACATGAAATCTCTCTTCATTTGCTTAATTTTTTGATTTCCTTCATCAGATCTTTGTAGTTTCCCTCTTGTAAGTCTTGTGCATATTTTGTTAGATTTATACCTAAGTATTCCTCTCTTTTTTTGGTGCTAAGGGAAGAGGATTTTTATAAGAAAATAAAATTAGAAAGCTTAGCAATTACAGAGATGTAAAGTAAAAGAAGAACAATTAATCTGCATAATTCATGGCATAATTCCAAATGCAAAATAGCAAAAGAACAGAATACAGTTTGCTAAAAAGGCATAAAGAAAACCCCAAAGGCTTCCTTAGTGAAACAAACATGTGGGAAACAAGCTGAGATTCAGAAGGAGAGCCCAAGAACACAGTTCAGGAATAGAATTGACTTTCTAGAGAGCAAAGTGTGCCAGGCTGTAGGAGCCCATATTCACACACCTGGCACCACATCCCAGAACGGCCCCAGGCAAGTCCAGGGGAGGGAGGGAAGGGAAAGGAATAAGCAGGGTCCAACAAACCTCCAGGTCTCTTCGGAATGGGTCAGAAAACCATGTTGAGGATCTGAGACATGACCTGTTCTGAGAAAGCTTGGAACCTCGGACAGATAATAAGGAAATGCCAATTTCTGACCAAAATTATGCATCTCATCTCACACATGAGGACAACCAAGATGAAAGAGCTATCATGTGCCATATGTTGTTGACTAAGTTACAACTGGTATGAAAACTTATCTAGGAGAAGAAATTGTCTTTCTTAACAAGACGCTTGGTGGTAGAGGTTGGACTCTGAGACCAGAAGTTTCAGAAAACAAGAAAACACATGAGACAGTTAAACTGCCCTTTGGAGAAATAAAGATAGATTTTGGCATGGGGGAATGCTGAGAATAGAGGGGAGGAGAGAAAGAGGGAGAAAAAAACAGGATGGCTGAGCAGTATGGCATGGTATCAGAAGGAGTGGGCTATGGTGGGAAATGCCCAATTTCATGGTGTTTGCAAGCGTTTCAAGATCTTTTGGGTGCTATCACATACACTGAACCATTCTTCATCTTCCTCATCGGTTGCCCAATGGCTTTGTGTGAAATAAAGATTTTGGGTGAAAATCAAGGAAAGAGAGGTGAATTCCACATCTGGGTCAGAACAGAGGAGAGAAAGAAAGAACTCACAGGAAATAAAACATGATTGATCTCAAAAGGGTCTTGCAGCAACTCAAAGCCAGGTGCGACCATGAGATATATATTTCAGAGAATACTCAGACATCTTGTGTCAAATGTAGGCTATGAGGATCAAGTACTCAATTAGGTCACATAAGAAACCAAACCCAAGTCTCTCTTTTTTAAAATAATGACAACTAATGTTAAATGAGTGTTTATTAGGCTTTGTGCCAAGCAATTTACAAACATTATCTTCCTTTGACTTTATAACCCTAGGAGGTTAGGATTCTTATCATTATCTTTATTTGAAAATAACAAAATTGAGACTGAGAGCAGGTAATATCTTGCCCAACGGCACTCTGTAAGTGACCAAGTCACAATTTGAGCCCAGACTGTCTGACTCCAAAGCTCTACACTCACCTATGATCGTTTACAGCCCATTTTTTGCGTCAGCTGCCAAGAATGACTCGAAACCAATTAAGAGGTCGTGTGATTCACTAAAACTCTAAAACTCTTCTTGCTGAGGTCACCATTTCCCCATTGTGAAATCCAATGATCTGACTTCAGGGTAACAAAAGAAGCAAGATCCAGTTTCTTCTTCTTCTTCTTTTTTTTTTTTTTTAAAAAAAGATAATAGCTAATGTTAATCATGCAAAAAGCACATGCCAGATGCTTCTTCCCCTCCTTGGACTTCATTTTTCTCCTTAGCACTTATCACCACTTGACATTCTGTATTTAACTTGCTTATTTGTTTATTGAATCTTCCCCAAGTAGCTGTCCCCTACAGCAGAGATTTTTGTTCTGTTTTTCTTACTGCTTACACTTGTAGCAGTGTCTGGGAAATGATAGCTGCCTGATAAATATTTGTTGAATGAGCCTTAATATTTAACAAAAACAGTACAATAATCTGGAGATGTGTTAGGAGTTCTTTAAGAAGTTAAACCAGCATCTGTCCTATGACCCAGCAATTCCACTCCTAAGTATTTACCTAAAAGAAATGAAAACGTGTCGAATAAAAGTCCTGTACAAGTGTTCATGTTATCCTCATTCCTAGTAGCTGTTAACCAAAATGTGACTGAGTCAGGGCTCGGTTGATTAGAGGTTTATTTAGCCAAAGTTGAAGAAATGCCTGGGGAAAAAAGTACAAATTGTAGGAGCATCTGTGACTTACGCTTTTTCCCAAAGGAGGTTTTGGAAATTCGGTATTTAAAGGGGAATGAGCAAGCAAGAGAAGGAGAAAAAGGAGTGAGGCAGGCCATGAGGCAGATGGTTACATTCTTGTGATGCTCTGATGAACCTCAGTGAATCTACATTTTACATGTGAAAAGAGGAAATAGAGGGAAAAGTCAATTATGCATCCTCCACGCTCAGTAAATCTATGTTTTTTTGTAAGATAAAGTAAACAAGTGAAGAGAAGGACTAGAGGAAGTGAGAGTATGACATAGGTTGTGAAATTACAGCTATCTGCTTGGGAACAAAGGGAAGACAGTATTGGTGACTCAGTTCCCAAGCTCAACTTTCCCTTTGGCATAGTTTCTGTTTTTCTTTCACATAGCAAAAACTGGGAACAACCCAAATGTCTATCAACAGGAGAATGGGTAAATAATGCCAGTATATTCCTTAAATGGAATAGCACTCAGCAATAAAAGAACAAACTACTGATACAAAAAGCAGTATGTATGAATCTCAAGAGCTTATGCTGTGTGAAGTAAGCCAGATACAAAGATGTACATACTATATTATTACATTTTATGTGACTTCAAAGAACAGCAAAAGCTAACCGATGGTGACAGAAACCTGAGCAGTGGTCACCCAGGGTGCTTGGACATTGACTGGCAGGGCTGTGGGGAGCTTCCTGGGGTTAGGGAGGTGCTCTTTATCTTGTTTTGGGGAAGCAGTTACAGAAGTGTAAACAATGCTGAAACTTATCAAATGGGCCACTCAAGACACTTGCATCTTATTATGTATCGATTATAGCTCAATTTTTAAAACATCTGTTTTCTGAGGCTGGGCACGGTGGCTCACGCCTGTAATCCCAACACTTTGGGAGGCCGAAGAGGGCAGATCACAAGGTCAGGAGTTCGAGACCAGCCTGACCAACATGATGAAACCCCATCTCTACTAAAAATACAAAAATTAGCCAGGTGTGGTGACGTGCACCTGTAATCCCAGCTACTCAGGAGGCTGAGGCAGGAGAATCGCTTGAACCAGGGAGGCAGAGCTTGCAGTGAGCCAAGATCATGCTACTGCACTCCAGCCTGGGCAACGGAGTGAGACTCCGTCTCAAAAAAAAAAAAAAAAAAAATCTGTTTTCTAAATATTAGCCAGATAAAGTTAGAGAAGTGTTTCTTTTCTCTTGGGTAGCTCTAATAAAATAAATCCTATTTTCCTTTTTTCTTTTTTTTTTTTTGAGACAGAGTCTCACTCTGTCGCCCAGGGGTGCAAACTCGGCTCACTGCAACCTCTGCTGCCTGGGTTCAAGCGATTCTCCTGCCTCAGCCTGCTGAGTAGCTGGGATTATAGGTGCCTGCCACCGCACCCAGCTAATTTTTGCATTTTTTGTAGAGACAGGGTTTCACCATCTTGGCCAGGCTGGTCTTGAACTCCTGACCTCGACCCACCTTGGCCTCCCAAAGTCCTGGGATTACAGGCATGAGCCACGGCGCCAGGCCTGGAATCCTATTTTCTAGCTAGGAGATGTCATAGCCTCTGTCTCCTCATATGTCATATGAGGAATATCATGCTTACCAAATAGAATTTTTGTCAGGATTAAGTAAGATAAGGTATATAATATGCTCAGCTTCTTAGTATCTAGCACAAAATAGGTGTCCCATAAATATTAATTATCTGTCTTGGTATTAAAAATAAAAGACAAGGCACCAGTCTGATTGCTCTGCTCCAACTAATTCAAGGTTTTGGCCATATTTTATGCCCACTGGCAATTTTCTGAGCGTGTTCTTTAAATATTGAAAAATTCAGTCTATAAGACCACAAGTGCTTTTGACCTTGAAGCAAAGCAAAACTAGGTCAAATGGAATCAATTTAGATAATGGCAAAGTTAAAAGTCAGTTCTGAAATCTATTCCCTAAACTTCAGATCTATCTTTTTATTGTTAAAGCAGTGAATTATAGGAGCTACTCGCTGACAAAACCTTTTAAAAACTGTCATTTTGAGCCTCAAAGTAAATGCCTGCTAAAGGTTATGAATTTGTTCGGTGCTCTCATTTCATTATTGTACAGAACAAACATAATTATTGGTTGATTTTGCATTATTGACCTGTATAATGAACTCTGTCGCTCCGTAGTCACAGCTGAGTTTGTTCCAGGGATTCTGAGTGGTTGTTAGATCTTTGCTGTGGCTCCCTCAACTCATTTCCCCAAGAGACAGCATGACACAGCCAGGTTAGCAGATGCCAGCTCTAAGTCAGGCCATGAGAACAAGTTCTTCTCTCCTGCAGGAAGCACGATGATAGAAGAGGACTCTAGGCGCGTGTGGCTGGCAGCCAGGTCTGAGGACTTCAAAACCCTCGTCTGAGAACCTGAGGATGGTGTCGCGGGTGAGCAGTGACCATCTGGGCTAGTGGTGCAGGAGTAAAAGAATTTACCAAGACAGTTGTAGGTAAAGAAAGGCAGATTTATTAGAGAAAGTAGGAAAATACGTTGCACATTGCAATGGGCAGAATCAGCATAAGAGCAGCTGGCTGCAAGGAAGCAAAGGCTTGCTTGGGAAATTACAGAATGGAACTTGGGTTGCTTGATAATACCAAGGTATCCGGAGCTAACTTGCATTCTTCTGTCAGTCAAGGTGTTTGATAAATTGAAGCACTCAATGAGAAGCAGAAAGTGTGTGAGTTATGTACATTATCTGTGCAGGAGGGCTATATGCTCTGGACCAGAAAGAAAGGCAGACCTATAGTTTATCTGTTTTATCTCTTTGTTTTCCCCTGGTCCCAGCAGCCTGCCTCTTCTTCCCTAATTAGGACTTTACAGGTAGCATGAGGTCAAAGGACCTGGGTTGACTTGGAATCTGATCATCCCCCAGGCCAACCAGAGATGTCCTAATTCTCTGGCTTTGGAGGGCATATAAGAAGAGTCCCAGGCCAGGCATGGTGGCTCAGGCCTGTAATCCCAGCACTTTGGGAGGTCAAGAGATCGAGACCATCCTGGCCAACATGGTGAAACCTCACCTCTCCTAAAAATATAAAAATTAGCTGGGCATTGGTGGCAGGCGCCTGTAGTCCCAGCTACTTGGGAGGCTGAGGCAGGAGAATCACTTGAACCCAGGAGGCAGAGGTTGCAGTGAGCTGAGATCCCACCACTGCACTCCAGCCTGGTGACAGAGTGTGACTCCATCTCAAAAAAAAGCAAAAAAAAAGAAAAAGAGAGAGAGAGGAGTCCCAGACCAACACAGCTCCACTCTCCAAGTCTCTGTCGAGGAAGGCACTGCCTTAATGTGGAGAATAGTATCTGGACAGCACAATATCTCCTTCAGGGTCTTTCCACCATGATTAGGCTTGATCAGAGGGTAGCCAGGTTGGGAACAGATTATGGAAGCAGGAAGAAGCAGCTAACACTGGCCTCCACCCCTTGCCTAGTTCTGACTACTGGTGGCCTCTTCCACTTACATCAGCGTTCCCAGGAAACTCTGCCAACCAAATTCCCAAGATTTGCCTTCTACCTACATGTTTTCTTTGTGACCTGGCACATGCAATCTTACTGGAATTAATGAGTAGAAATGTGAGACCTTCCTTTCCCTCCATCTCATAAATGCCATGTACTCTATTTATAGATTAAGGTGAATATTATGGAGACTCTCTGGCCTTGGGTGAGTTTTTCTTTCTAGGCCTTAATTTCCTTTTCTATCAAATGGGGGTGATTATGCTTACCTCATAGGGTTGTCCTGAGAATTAAGTGAAGAAACAAATCTAGTTCTTAGCACATTGCCTTCAGAGTGACTGCT
Organism: Homo sapiens; assembly: GCF_000001405.40. Taxonomy (NCBI): domain Eukaryota; kingdom Metazoa; phylum Chordata; class Mammalia; order Primates; family Hominidae; genus Homo; species Homo sapiens. The sequence continues at coordinate 230,455,193 of NC_000001.11, read as the reverse complement.
CAACAAATGGTAGCTATTGTTGTGTCATAATTATTTTTACAATAACATGTCACATGTTTTATAGTAACTTGCTCCCTCTTAGTGATAGTCCTCTGTTAATATCCTCTCCAACCTTTGCTATTATGTAGGATGTCTCAGTCATGTTGGTCTTCCCAGGAGGTTTTCCCCAGCCACTCCCAAGCACCCCTCCCACAGAATCCTACCCTTCCTTAGAGCTCATCCCCTTTCAAAGGAGATGGAAAAAGGGGATCTAATAAGATACAGTACATAGAGAACACTTCCAAAAGCCTAAAACATCCTCCTTTCTTCCTGTGACTCAATTTCCTCATATAAATAGCAAATGCAGAACCAATTATGACCTATCTGGTGGGCAGAGATTCAGGAACTAATAGGTTAATATTAGTAAAATCATTTGAAGTCACCTGACAAAAAAGTTCCAAGATGGTACGTGCAAGGCGTTTCATGATTTCCTACTTCTGCAAACGAGTTAATTATTCCTTAAGCAGGATGAGAGCCATGGAATGACAATGTCATAGAGCTGGAAGGGTCCATGGAGAATATCTAGTCTGCAAAGTGTTGGGGAAATATAATTAAAAGAAACAAAATCTCCCAACTCAGAAATCCTCTCTACAAAGGTAGTAGAAACAGAAAACAGTTTTATTATTGAATAAGCATTAAACCAGAATGTGATACAACACAATCTGCTACAAGATTGCAAAGACAAAGAAATCTCACCCCATTATATAGCCAAGCAGGTCTGGCTCACACATATAAGCTTTCAAGGTAAATTATAACTAGTTTTCAAGTAACAGGGCTTGGCAGCATTTTTCATCACACATAGTTCCTTCTAACTTTATTATGGTAATGGGGAGTCCACCTGTGTTAGCTTTATCCAGAGGAGAAACAAACTTCTCATATCTTTGTAACAGAAAGTAAGGCCGGGTGCGGTGGCTCACACCTGTAATCCCAGCACTTTGAGAGGCCGAGGCAGGTGGATGGCTTGAGCCCAGGAGTTCAAGACTAGCCTGGGCATCATAGTAAGACCTAATCTCTATAAAAAAAATACAAAAATTAGTTGGATGTGGTGGCACACATCTGTTGTCCCAGCTACTCAAGAGGCTGAGGTAGAAGGATCACTTGAGCCCAGGAGGTTGCAATGAGCCGTGATCGTGCCACTGCACTCCAGCCTGGGCAACAGAGCGAGACTATGTCTCAAAACAAAAACAAAAACAAAAAAACAACAAAAAACAAAACAAAACAAAACAAAAAAGAAGGTAGTTTTGTGAATTGGAGCAAGTAGCCCAGCAAAGTGAGGCTTTTACCCTCCCAAGTAGGTTCTTACTTTCCCATAGGAACTAGGAGATAGGGATGCTATCTCCCTTGATATTGCATTTCAAAAATAGCTCCCAGGTCCCTGAGGAAATATTTCTGAGCTGTGAGACAGACCAGAGGCTTATTAAGCCATTATAAAGAATGACTTACATTTGAAAAAGACAGAAAAAAAATGGAAAGAAAAGAGAGAATGAAGAAGTCTCTATCTTTAGTTTCAACAGGAAATTAAGCCTCTAATTTTTAGTTTCTATTTGCCCTTACACCACCCTGACCCAGGTCCTAGGAAGGCACTCAAGTTGGGGTTGTGAAACTGAAATGGTACCTGGTTTGTTGCTGTTTTTGCTTTTTAACATATAAGCACGTTTTTAGAGAAAGATCCACGGCTTTCATAGATTCTCAAAGATTCAGTGACTCAGTCCTCTTATTTTAGACATGAAGACATCAAGGCCTTATGAAATAAAATTTATAGGTGGCCATTGGTTTAGATTGAGCTCCTGCACTAAGCCCAAGAGACCAAACCAAAATGGAGTCACTCATGCTAAAGTTCCATGTCACCAACCCAAAACTAAGTTGTTTATATGACCTGAAAAATCAGGAGAGGGAGAGATGATAGCCAAATCCCCAAACAAGCCAGTTTTAGCTGGCACGATAAGGGAGTCCCCTCTGCTTTAATCTTTATAAGGAAAGTATCTTTGAAACAATCAATCCACTTTTTGTTTTGTTTCTGCTTTCTCAGCCCTCTCCTGTCTGAAAAACCAACCTTCTCTGCTCAGCTCATTGGAGTATTCATTCTGGTATAGAATAAGGTGTTGCCCAATTCTAGAATCATAAGTAAAACCAATTAAGATCTTTAAATTTGTTGTAATTTTGTCTTTTGACAGCCTGAAGAGAACAAACATGGTTTTTCCAAACCAATTTAAATGTGGTTACATAGAAAGAGATCTACCGTTTGTTAATAGGAGTTGTGGAACAACTGCTTCCTTGCTGTCCTGCATCTTTTCAGCCCATCTTTCAGGCAGGCTCTCCCACAATCCAGTGGGTTTACCTGGAATATCCAAAACCTTCCTGCCACCTATACACTACACTCTGCCATAGAGAAAGGGTTACCAGATTTAGCAAAAAACAAGACAACCAATAACAAAATACAAAAAAATCCCAAACAAACCATGATGCCTAGTTAAGTTTCAACAACAAATAACAATTCCTTCTGAAGCATGTGTACCCTTTCCCTATGGTATATAAGCCTTGGAACTGGGGGGTGTAACAGTGCAGCATGGGGACCCACCATCTCATCTTGCTGCTGAGAATTCTGTTCATAAGTCCCTATTAAATGCTTCTTTAGGAGAAACTGGAATTGCCAGCCTCTTTCTTTGGTCTCTCAACTTCCTCAGCCTTTGGGAGTATGTTTGCCTAGACCTGCTCACCACAGAACAACCAGGCAGTACTCTCTGGAGATAAAAAGGACAGACAGATGGTAGACCTGACTGGTAGCACATGTAAGTACTGTTTTTGTGTAATTGCTCACCAAAGGTTGGGTCTTCTGGGAGCAGAGACCCAGAGCTCCAAGCTGGCCTAAGAGTTAGGGAGGCCCCAAGGGAAGCACTTAAATCTATGACCCATGGATTAAGTAGTTATTTTCCAGGTAAAAGGAGTAGGGAAATGTCTAACCTGAAACTTGGGGGTTAAAATAAGTACCTCCTAAAGGCAGTAAGAAGGGCTGCGGGGATTCCCTTCTTTTTATTTTTAATATTTATTTATTTATTTATTGTCTCACCTTGGCTTACATCTTTCTTATTTATTTACTTCATTTTATTTTGTTTTGAGATGGAGTCTCACTCTTGTCACCCAGGCTGGAGTGCAATGGCACGATCTCAGCTCACTGCAACCTCCGCCTTCTGAGTTCGGGTGATTCTCCTGCCTCAACCTCCCACGTAGCTGGGATTACAGACGTGAGCCATGATACCCAGCTTATTTTTGTATTTTTAGTAGAGATGGGGTTTTGCCATGTTGGCCAGGCTGGTCTTGAACTCCTGACCTCAAGGTGATCCACCCGCCTCAGCCTCCCAAAATACTAGGATTACAGGTGTGAGCCACTGCACCTGGCCTTTTTTTAAAATTTAAATTTAAAATAAAAAAAATGTTTTTGAGACAGGGTCTCGCAATGTCGCCCAGGCTGGAAAGTGCAGTAGTGCAATCAGAGCTCACTGTAGCCTCAACTTCCCAGGCTTAAGCGATCCTCCCACCTCAGCCTCCTGAGGAGCTGGGACTACAAGTACGTGCCACCATATTCAGTTAATTTTTTATAGAGTCAAGGTCACAGTATGTTGCCCAGGCTGATCTAGAACTCCTGAGCTCAAGCAATCTTCCCTCCTCAGCCTCCCAAAGTGTTGGGATTACAGGGATTACAGGCATGAGCCACTGTGCCCAGCCTGAATTTAAATTAAATTTTTAATGTTTGTGAGTACATAGTAGGTGCATATATTTATGGGGTATGTGAAATATTTTGATACAAGCAGACAATGTGTAATAATTACATCAGGGCAAATATATCCATCACCTCAAGCATTTATCATTTCTTTGTGTTACAAACAATCCAATTATATTCTTTTAGTTATTTATTTTATTTTATTTTTTTGAGGCAGAGTCTTGCTCTGCCGCCCAGGCTAGGGTGCAGTAGTGCAATCTCAGCTCACTGCAACCTCCACCTCCCGGGTTCAAGCAATTCTCCTGTCTCAGCCTCCCGTGTAGCTGGGATTACAGGCACCCACAACCACACCCAGCTAATTTTTGTATTTATAGTAGAGACGGGGTTTCACCATCTTGGCCAGGCTAGTCTCAAGCTCCTGACCTCGTGATCCATCCACCTCGGCCTCCCAAAGTGCTGGGATGACAGGAGTGAGCCACCACGCCCGGCCTCTTTTATTTTTAAATGTATGATAAATTATTGTTGATTGTAGTCACCCTGTTGTGCTATCAAATACTAGATGTTATCCATTCTATCTAACTATATTTTTGTATCCATTAATCATCTCCACCCTACCCCCTGCCCGCCCCCAGGGATTCCCTTCTTTCCTGTGAAGGTTGCACAGTCAGAAGCTGGCAGAGGTTATCCAGTATGCCAGACCTGCTTAGGCCCCTATGACACCTTGCAGAGAATTAGAAAAGAATGCCCTTTCCAAAAAGGGAAAAACTGGCGTTACTAAATTGTTTGTTTTTCAATAACAATAATCACCAAAATGAAACTAATCTGTATAGATTTTGCAAATTAAATTATACAAAATGGACATTTTAATCACAATAATTAGAAACTCAAAGTCACCAATCTATAAAATACTTACATATTTTGCTTTCATGACAACAATGTGAAGATTGTTTCATTGCTTACTTGCCCCAATACCCTGTTTTCTACAGACGTCATTGTTAGACTTGACTGCCTTTCTTATGCCATTATAGGCCTTCAGTCTTTTTCAATACATTTGAATTCTGAGGAACTATATTGGCAAACTTAAATAAGTCCTGAGAAGTACAGAAATATGTAGAGAAGCGTCTGATAAAGCCATTGCTGCAAATATATTAAAATACATCCACACAGGACATACTAGACGTTAGAAAGTAACTTGAGGCTTTTAGCTCCTTGTATGTTAATATCCCATCAATTTCACATTGCTTATATATATATACAGTATACTTGTTTTGTAAATTTGCACATAGTAGAGTGCCACATGTGCATGATGATTCTCAAGCACATGGCATCTAGATCACTGGTAGGTCACGATGCGCAGTATCATAAACCTGTCTTTGGAAGGTGACACTGTTGTAACAAAGAAAAAAGAAATTTACTTTCCAACTAATTTGGGATCATAGTTGGGCTGATCATGGGATTTGAAGATTAAATGAGTTTTCCTTGTCTTTTAAAAGTGTTTTCTACATCGGAGAAGTTAGCTTCAATGTAAGAGACTCTGCAATTTGTTTTGTGTTCCTAATACATATCTTATAAATATTGTCTCTTCATTTTTCTTCAAAACATTTCTGAATCCCATTGATGTTTTTAAGAGCATTATGTACATTGAATCTTGGTTCCTGTAACTGTTTGTTAATAATATTAATTTTACTTAATATACTATACCAAATGTATTCACTCATATTATTCTTAATATTCAATAAAGATATAAAGTTGTAGATTTTAGCCAAAGGTATACCTTTAAAGTGTATTTGCTCAGCAAAAATATTTTAGTTACGTGTGTATATGTATGTGTATTTGAGCATAAATAAAAGGTATACCTTTGGCTAAAATCTAGAATATATCTTTATTGAATATTAAGAACCTCTAAAACAAAATTGCTGACAGCAATGGAATTTTCATGACATGAAGGCACCAATTTGACTTTCCCAATGTGTATTCAACAATATTTTAAATTTATGTTTGGTAAATGTGTTTTCAATACATTTTTCACTGAGGTTGAAAATAGTGGCATAATTTTGGGATAGCACAAAAAGTGTAAGTGGTATCAAAATATTTTTTTTCCTGCATTGTTTTCTACCAAGTTTAAAGAAGGCACAGAACCTGATGTGAGGTGTCAGTGTCCAAACAGAGTGAAGAGGGTGTCCCTCTGTCAGGGCAGCCTGGCATGGGGCCTCTGAGATGGTTGTCCCCACGGGGTGGAGTTGGGGGCAGCAGCCCAGTGCCAGGAGTTAGAGTGCCTGCTGAGGGGAAGCTTGGCAGGGTGTCGGAGGCACAGCAGGGTGAGGAGGGTACCAACACGGATAGGGGCAATGCAGGGCGGAGAACCTGAGCCTGTGAGGATAAAGAGGGCATCAGCAGGGTAGATGCAAGACTAGATACGTACAGGGGAACTGATCAAATTATGTAAGCATCTAGGGAGAATGGGAACCAGGTTAATCAGGTTTGGAGAAGGTCGTCACAAATATGGAAAGGGGGAATAAATTAGAATTAACCTGTATATTGGATTGACATAGAAAGTAATTGCACAAACTCAAGTTCAATATATATATAGGTATAAAAATAAATATGGATGTTAATGTATGTATGCTCAAACACGTACATGTATACATAAATGCATGCATATATATATTTAGCAACATGCATTAAATTGCCTGAGATCAGTGGCATCCCAATAGCAATGAGTATTTCTAGGGCCCAGGTCTTGGCTTCTAAGTTCCATTTTCTGCTAAAGGGAACCAGGGGAATAACTGATTCCAGGGCTGGATAGGAAAGTACAAGATAAACTCGGAATACCTTGTAGTGCCAAAGTGCTCAAAGAATGATGAGGACTTGTCAAAAGAACACCAAAATCAACATAAATGGGACTTCCAATGGTCGAACTGGGGATAACACGAGTATCGAAATAAATAAAGATTGGAGGGTTGGGAGCGGTGGCTCACACCTGTAATCCCAGCACTTTCGGAGGGCAAGTCGGGCGGACCACCTGAGGTCGGGAGTTCGAGACCAACCTGACCAACATGGAGAAACCCCATCTCTACTAAAAATACAAAAAATTAGCCAGACATGGTGGCGCAGGCCTGTAATCCCAGCTACTTGGGAGGCTGAGGCAGGAGAATCGCTTGAACCCGGGAGGCAGAGGTTGCAGTGAGTCGAGATCATGCCATTGCTCTCCAGCCTGGGTGACAAGAGCCAAACTCCGTCTCAAAAAACAAACAAAAAAAATTGTAACAGATTTAAAAAAACAGGAAAACCTAAGTCCATACAAAGAGAAATTAATAAATGGGAAGTTGAGTGAGAAATGGGATATTTACATGTGTTAAAGTACCACCCCACAAAATACTTCTGAATTTTGAAAGGGAAAAAAGTGTGACTGCAGTAGAGAAGACCCGCTCACACTACCTTAATCAAGTGATCAAATTATACCAACAGGGCACGGTGGTGCACACCTGTAGTCACAGCTACTTGGGGGCTGAGGCAGGAGGATTGCTTGAGCCAGGAGTTTGAGATTGTATTGTGGTATGATCACACCTGTGAACAGCCACTGCACTGGGCAACAGAGCAAGACCCTGTCTTCAAAGAAATTAAAAAATAACACATTTTTAAGGTGGAAAGAAATGTCACAGAAAACAAATTACATCATCAGTACTGGGACAAATTCAAATCCTACGTCACCTCTGACAAGGCACTGAGAACACGGCATCACTTCTGTGCTATTCCTCCCAAAGACGAAAAACCTGGGTCTAACATGAGGAAACGGCAGATAAATCCAAAGCAAGAACATTCTAGAACATAAGTGTCCTGTGTTCTTCACAAGTGCCAAGGTTATGAGGGTCAGGGAACAACTGAGGAAGTGTTCCAGACTGAAGGAGACTAAGAGATCAACAACTACATGCCTCACATGATCGGTTATCAGACAATCAACAGAATATGCGTGGGGCTATGGATTAAACACTAGTAACACATCTATGTAAACATCCAGGTTTTGATGTTTGTGCTGTGATTCTGTGGGAGAATATCCCCATTTGTAGGAAATACACACAAAAGTCTTTGGAGGTGATGGAGCATCCAGGTTATCAATGAACTCTCAAATGGTTCAGGAAAAATAAAGTTCTTCATTATCTGAATTTTGACTGTTTAAAAATAAAAAAAAAACTGCTGGGCGAGATGGCTCACGCCTGTAATCCAAGCACTTTGGAAGGCAGAGGCGGGAGGATCACTTGAGGTCAGGAGTTTGAGACCAGCCAGGCCAACATGGTGAAACCCTGTCTTCACTAAAAATATAAAAATTAGCTGGGCGTGATGGCTTGTGCCTGTAATCCCAGCTACTTGGGAGACTGAGGCATGAGAATCCCCCGAACCCAGGAGGCAGAGGTTGCAGTGAGCCAAGATTGTGCCACTGCACTCCAGCATGGGTGACAAAGTGAGACTTTGTCTCAAAATAATAATAATAAATAACGTATAAGGGAAGGAAAGTAGAATGTCCCAGAATATTTTTAAATACCTTCATTTAATCTACTGTGTTTTCCATGCGTATTTGCAGCTTAGCTGTATTCCTGGCTCAAATTATTTTTTACTGGATTCAGTCTTCATAGGTGTTTTGTAGTATTTTAACTTAGAATGTAAAATTTTAAAGTAATACATACATAATAAGTATGTAATTTATATAGCAATAAAATTTCCATATCATTGAAAGTAATTGCCATAATATAATTAGCAGACCATTTTATAGTAATTTCTCACAGGTCTGTGTAATACTTTGTGGCTTATTGATTAATGAATATTAGCTATTAAAACTGTATTTGACCACTTTTTTATTCCACATATAAGTTAGATCATGCAATATTTTTCTTTCTGTATCTGGCTTATTTCACTTAGCATAATGTCCTCCAGGTCCATCCATGTTGTGGCAAATGGCAGGATTTCCTTCATTTTTTAAGGCTGAATAATATTCCACTGTGTGTGTATCTCTGTGTGTGTGTGTATATATACATACATAAACACACACACGCATATATACAATATGTATATTACATTTTCTTTACCCATTTGTCCATAGATGGGCATTTAGGTTGTGTCCATGTCTTGGCTATTGTGAATAATGCTGTAATGAACACAGAAGTGCTGTTATCTTTACGAGGTGGTGATTTCATCTTTTTGGGGTTTATACACAGAAGAGGGATTGCTGGGTCATATGGTGGTTCTATCTTTAATTTCTTTAGGAACCTCCATACTCTTTTCCATAATGACTGTACCAATCTACGTTTCCACCAACAATGTACCGGGGTTCCCTTTTCTCCACACCCTTACCAACATGTGTTATCTCTTGTCTTTTTGATAATAGCCATCCTTACAGGTGTGAGGTGGTATCTCATACTGGTTTTAATTTACATTTGCTTTATGATTAGTGATGTGGTGTACCTTTTCATACACCTGTTGGCTACTTTTGTGTCTTTTTTAGAGAAATGTCTGTTTAGGGCCTTTGCCCATTTTTTAATTGGGCTTTTTTGTTTTCCTACTACTGAGTTGTAAGAGTTTTTTAAATAAATTTTGGTTATTAACCCTTTATTAGATATGTGGTTTGCAATTATTTTTTACCAATCTATCGGTTGCCTTTGAATTTTGTTGATTATTTCCTTTTCTGTGCAGAAGCTTTTTAGTTTGATGTAGCCTTATTTATATTAGCTGTTTTAGCCTAAGCTTTTGGTGTGATACCCCAAAAATTATTGCCAAGGCCAATGTCACGGAGCTATATTTCCCTGTATAACTTTCATGATTTCAGGTCTTACATTTAGGACTTTTTTCCATTTTGAGTTGATATTTGTGTATGGTATAAAATAAGGTTCCAATTTCATTCTTTTGCTTGTGGAAATCCAGTTTTCCCAGTACTATTTATTGAAGGGACTATCTGTTCCCTATGGTGTCCTTTGGTGTCTGTCAAAAATTAGTGGACCACGTATGTTTGGATTTATTCCTGGGCTTTCTATTCTGTTCCATTGGACTATGTTTCTGTTTATGCCAGTACCATACTGTTTTGATTACTATAGCTTTGTAATATACTGTAATTTTAAATCAGAAAGTGTGATGTCTCCAACTTTGTTTTTCTTTCTCAGTATTGCTTTGGCTATTCGGGGTTTTTTGTGGTTTTATATGAATCTTAGGATTGTGTGTTTTATTTCTGTGAAGAATGCAATTGGAATTTTGATAGAGATTGCATGAAATATGTATATTGCTTTGGGTAAATGGGCACTTTAGCAATATTAATTCTTTCCATCCATGAAGATGAGACACACTTCCATTTATTTGTGTCTTCTTTAATTTCTTTCATCAATTTTTATAGTTGTTAGTGTACAAAGCATCAAGAAAGGGGTTTTAATCAAGAAAGGATCCTGAACTTTGTCAAATGTTTTTTTCTGCATCAATTGAGATGAGTATGTGGTTTTTATCTTTCATTCTATTAATGTGATATACCACAATGGTGTTTTGTTTTTAATTTTAAGTTATCAGTACATGAATCAGAAAAGCAGTTCTTTGTCTAGAAGCAGCTTATTTTAGAAATTGTTTGGGCAAAAAGGTCTTTCATTTATCTAACTGGACTTTTATTTCACAATCAAAGCAGAACACCACACAGGTACTTCCCACCTAGCATTAATTAATGCATTCTTGAAAGTCAAATGTTCTGAGCAACAAAATAATAGTGTTTCCTCCATTATTTTAAAAGGCAAATTTATTATACAGAATATGTCAGCAGAAATGTATATGTCAATCTCTAACCAACTTACAAGACAAACAAAAACAATGAAATGCCTGTATGTAAGTAACAAACTCAAAAGGAATATAAAATGCTTAAAATATTGCTTCTTGATCACAAAACAATTAATACACTGTTAACCAACATTTGCTCTGTATTCAACAGCAGGTGAGGTTTGCATGCATCATTACATTAGCAGTACAGCACACCAAATAACATACAGCAATAAATGGTTCCCCCAGGGAAAATGCAAATGAAGATTACAATAAATTAAGAATATTACCTGTAATGTTACCTGCCAAGTAAGGTAGACACCTGGAACTGACAAAACTTGAGAAGCTACTGCTGTAGATGCTCCTGGATCCTGGTAAATCTTCAAAGGAGTTGGTGACACAACAGGATGAAAAAATTCCCCAGGGGATCTCTGTTTACACTGAGAGCTTATGGGCAGACATTTCATTGTAGGGTATTATCAAGGCATGAGGCCATTCTTAAAAGCAAGACTTTCCATCCTATGGCTTCATATCAAGAATAGGGATAGCATTGCTTACATTAACTTAAACCAGTGATGTTCAGGGGTCGATATGATGCTCTTCCAGGTCTTCACTTTAATCTTCCTCAAACTCAGTGATCAATAATACCTCAGTATATATTTTTTAAAGAGCTCTTTGACATCTTTTCACTATCTTCCAAGGTGTCTGCTTTTGCAGGCATCACAGCTTTCCTGGGCATCCACCACCTCTTCAGAGTCTTTGAAATCAGCCACAAATTGCACGGCTAATTTCTTTCATAATCCCATGTTGTTTGTAGAAAGACTCTTTGCTATGGCTTCTCAATGATAGTGGAGGTTTCATCTGCAATCTGGGCCAGGACTGGGAATTAATTTTTATATAAACATCAGCTAAAATTTTTGTATTGAGAAATATGTACATTCTATAAAAGTTGGGCTTAAAGAATACAACAGTCTACTATGAACACCATATTACGTGGAAAGAAGCACTTTATCTCTGCCTTTCAGAAAATTGTTATAACATATTGACTTGAATTTTTAAAAAGAAGGCAGTTTTATGCTACCTACCCAAGAAAAATGTCATAATAAGCAATAAATTGCCCATCTTTGGAGTCAACAAATTAGTAATTTTTAAAAAATGTTCAAAATAACAAAGATATCTGTAACATTAAGGTTATCTTCTTAGTTGTGGGGCCTTGTGCAGTGCACAATCTGAACAATTTTACATGGCAGCCAGCGATCAGATTCATACATCGATTCTTGGCATTCCAGTAAAAGACAGCCTTGCACACGGTAAGTGCTCAATAAGATGCTGACAACCTGGCAGGATGGTGACAAAGCCCACTTCCCTATTTCAGGCATCTTCCTAGCCCACTGTAAATAATTCATTGGCATCTGCTGTGGTCCAAATGTGTCCCCAAAGTTCGTGTGAGGGAGATGTAATTCTCAATGTAACAGTGTTCAGAGGTGTGGCCTTTTGGGGGGTGTTTACGACATAAGGGCAGAGCCTTTATGCTCCTCTTGTGTACTTCTGCCATGCAAGGACCCAGCGTTTCTCTCCTCTGGAAGATTCAGCTGTCAAGACGCCATTTTGGGAGGATGTACCAAGTCCTCACCAGACACTGAACCTCCCAGTGCCTTGATCTCAAATTTCCCAGCTGCCAGAACTGTGAGAAATAAATTTCTGTTCTTTATAATTTACTCAGTCTGAGGTACTGTGTTACAGCATGCTTAATTTTTTTTATAATCAGAAAATCCTGCAGAAGTCTAAATCCATTTTCTCTTTCCTTCCCACAGAAAAAGTCCCATACAACATTCTCCTTCTCTCCATCAGGAAGTAGATTATGTCGAATTCTAAAACTCTGCTGGCTTTTGATCACTATAACTCTTTGTTTTTCTCCCTACCTTAAGCCCTCTGGGTGGCAAAGAGTTCTCTAACACTCATCCTGCTAGCATGCGCTATGATTCCGTTTTCTCCTCCCCAGTCAAGTTATGTGTTTCCCCTAAAGGTTGGTTTCGCAGTTTTGTTTGTTAACCTGGAAGGAGGCCTCAAACATTTACTTTGATTTTTGGAGCATTAATGACTACAAGAATTATGTGATTAGACTGATTTTAAGTGAAATACATTTTTGAAGTTTTGGTTCACTGAGTCTGGGATGAGAGGTTTGGGCCCTAGAGTTGTAGCTTCCAGACACTGATAGAGCTGAATTATAGATCAGGGGACAAGGAACAACTGGTTTCCGTCTCCTCTAATCATCATGAAGAAATTTCTTTTTTAAAAAAATCTCTATTTTCTCACTTTAGAAATGAATCCTGGGGTTTAATGGTAAAAATCAAAGAGCCATATTTCTCTTTCAAAAAGTGTCCTGCAAAGCAGCACCTGAAAGATAACTCAGTGAGTTGTGGGAAGAAAATATTAGAAGTTTTGAATTAATTTAGAAGTTATACAGAAGTTTATTTAATTTTCATGTCACCCTTTTAAATGTTTATCTTTTGCATAACATTTATAATGCCCACAATAATTTAGTACAATCGTGTAAGTAAATAATTTATAAATATTAAATAAACATACATTTAAATATATATATAGATATACTTACATTGGTCATATGTTCTGAATAAAAATTGTTTTTTGGAAAGAGAGATACACAATAAAAAATGTTTGGAGACCACTGCAATATAGACCCCAAGCCTCGTTTCCCTCCGTCCACAATGTGAGTTTTTAGCATACCTTTACCACCATATCCACTCCCTGAAATACGCCCTCTACAGCATTTGGCTGTCATTCCCATCCGAGGCAGTCACTGCAGGCTGTGCTGAGATCATCTTGAGGAAGGGGGTGGACCAGGTGACTTTGCTGTCTCACCTCTGCCTCCATCAGCAGTCCCACACATTGAAAGGCCAGTGTCGCCCAGTGTTTGCAAACACAGGCACTGGAATCAGAATGGACGGAGATTCCAGCTGCCCTCTCAATAGCTCCAGGCCCTTGGGAGAGTTGTGTGACTTCTCACCAAGGCTTAGTGCTCGTCCATAAGACGAAGATGAAAATAATGTGTCCCCAGTGGGCTGTCCTAAGGATGATGAGATAATGCCAGTGGGAGCTCAGCAGCTTTCAATAAGCAGAGTCGTTCTTAACAGTAGCTATTGAGATTACAACTACTATTCCTCATAATAATGGAACCCATGGTTTGAGATGACTTTAAAACAGTCTCTTTGCCTGGATATTCAAGATTAACCTGTTTTAAAATGATTCTGCTCTACTGTGAAGAATGATTCAGCCAGCTGCCAGTGGATTTCTTTGGAACCCTTTCTGAACTTTTAGGATTCTCCCTGGAGAAATTTTCTCAAGGAAGACAAAACGAAGTTATACTTTCTCTTCAAAGGAAATGGCAAAATGGTTAATTTTGCCAATTAATAGTGTGTTGGGCATAGAAGGTGCTCAACAAGTGTCTTTTATTTGATAAATTATGGATTTTAAAAGAAGCCTGTCTCTTGTATCTAAAAGTAACATAAATAGTAACAAAAATAAGAAAGGCACACTGGCGGCCAATGACATGTAATTAAACTTATCCCTGCTCTATGATGCCAAGAGCTTAATTAGGTTTGAATGATTGAGTAGAGTATGATTAAGAACAAACACCAACGAGATGCCCAAATGCTCAATTCCTCTTCCTGTTAATTTTCTGCTAGAACAAAACAAAAGCCCCAGGGAGGTTTATGTTGCTACTGAACATAAAGGGGCCAAATCCCACACTAGGGAGCCTTGGGAGTTGTTTTGATTGTGGATATGTGGAGTTACATGGAAGTGCAAAGGATGGCTCACCATATGTCTATCTACTAAGGTGCACAAGAAATATAATTTTAGTTTTCTGAAATGTGTCTAAATTTCTGTTTCAAATGCAATTTTGCCTATTATTATGGGGTGCATTGTGTCCCCCCAAAATTTATATGTTGAAGTCCTAACCTGTAAGACCTCAGAATCTGACTGAATTGGGAGATAGAATCATTAAGGAAGTAATTCAATTAAAACAGGGTTATTAGGGTGGGTACTAATCGAATATGACCTATGTATTTATGAGATGAAGCAGTTAGAACACAGATACACACAGAGCTGCGACCATGTGAAGACACAGGGAGAAGACAGTGCTCTGCAGGTCAAGAGAGGCCTCAGAAGAAATCAACCCAGAGGCCGGGTATGGGGGCTCACACCTGTAATCCCAGCACTTTGGGAGGCCGAGGCGGGCAGATCACCTGAGGTCAGGAGTTTGAGACCAATCTGGCCAACATGGCGAAACCCTGTCTCCACTAAAAATACAAAGATTAGCCAGGCATGGAGGTGGGCACCTGTAATCCCAGCTACTTGGGAGCTGAGGGAGGAGAATTGTTTGAACTCGGGAGGCAGAGGTTACAGTGAGCCGAGATTGTGCCACTGCACTCCAGCCTGGGTGACAGAGCCAGACTCCATCAAAAAAAAAAAAAAAACAGAAAGAAAGAGAGAAAGAGAGAAAAGAAAGAAAGCAAGGAAGGAAGGAAGGAAGAGAGAGGGAGAGAAAGAAAGAGAGAGAGAGAGAAAGAAAGAAAGAAAGAAAGAAAGAAAGAAAGAAAGAAAGAAAGAAAGAGAAAGAAAGAAAGAAAGAAAGAAAGAAAGAAAGAAAGAAAGAAAGAAAGAAAGAAAGAAAGAAAGAAAGAAAGAGAGAGAGAGAAATCAACCCAGCCAACACCTTGATTTTGGACTTCCAGATTCCTGAACTGTGGGAAAATAAAGTTCTGTTGTCTGAGCCACTCAGTCTGTAAGACTCTGCTGTGGCAGCCCTAGTATACTAATACGCCTATGTTTCAGAAATGATCTCTTTCAAATTGAGGGTCCTTCCTTTTGCCCTAAGGTTTTATTTCAGTTTGGGGGGTTTGTGTGGCGCTACTGTGTCAGGGCAGGAGGCAGGGAAGGAAATCATTGGCATTTGCCCCACAGGGTCATCCAGTTACTGCACAGCTGTTCCCAGGGCTGGCTATAGAATTTGCAACCTTAGTGCAAAAGGAAAATATAGGACCTTTTGGTCAAAAAGCATAAAGAAAAGCACTGTTAAAGATACTAAAATAGAAAGAATTTTTCTTTCTTCTGGGGTCTCTCTCTTGGCTTGTCATGGTGTTTTTATTTCCTATTTAATGCTGCCCTAGGTAAAGAAGTATTTGAAATTTTAATCATCAGGATGAATTTTACCATTTATCTTTAGAGTTTGCAATGCTAGCTTTGAATCACTCATATGTGGACCCACCAGAATGACACAACTCAATCTCAAAACTGGTATAGGCATATGGATTTTGTTCTTCACAGAAGGGTGGAAATCCTGCACAAAATAAACGCAACTGCTTTTATTTTGCTTCTTGATGCACACACATTCTACCAACACTCCTTCCTCTGGCTAACTGATGAGTAAGGAAGGGCTGAAAAGACAAGGAACTATGGGTTACCCTATCTGTTCCTTTCCTTCTATGTCACCATTCTCAGCGTAAGTGGTTGGCTGACCCTGGGAAGTAATAGGGGTGTGGAAGGATATGCTGAGGTTCCTGGTTGTTCATGTTTCTTAGAACAACATTGCCTTCTTTCTGCATCTGGTGCAAGTTCTGGTGTGCGGGGAGCATGTGGCCTCTGTGGGTGGCCCATGCCCTTTTTTACTGAGTGGCAGATGTCACTCGCTTTGCTTGTATTCACTGCCCTCTCTCACATTGTCCTGGGTAATGCTGGGCTCACGGGCACCCTGAATGCTCCATGCAGATGAGGAGGCTAGAAGTGCAGGACACAGCCGTCATCCTACCTCCTATGCTCAGAAACATGCTCCTCTGTCCCACCAACTTCACTCACAAAACACAAGTTCAAAGATAAAATCACTGAAAATCTCAACCCATCCACCGCAGAGCACAAGACCCAGCTCCAGGCACTCCTGAGGGCAGGTCTCTGTGTCTACGGATTTCCACCCCGAAGCCAGCCCCGCCTGTCCCTCCACTTTCTTTCCCCAGCCACCTTTCGGCTTGGAGACTAGAGTCAAAACTAAAGGAATGTGTCCAGTTGTTTTACAACTGCAGTGGATGGCGTGTTTTCAATATCAATTGACTGGTTTTTCTCAGCATGTTTCAACCCCCTCACAATCCCCAGGTTTTACTTTTTTTACTTTATTTAACTGCACAAGATATAACATTTTGTGCTCAAGGACTGAGGGAATAGAGGTGAGGGGAGAGAGCAGAGAAAACTTAGTCTATTCTCAATTTTTAAATTTCCAAAAGCTCATCAGTAAATGGAAAAGAGTTGTGGCATAGACAAGAGATTTGGAAGAAAGCATGGTGATAAAAAGAAATTTGTCTTGCTGGGTGTGGTGAGACACGCCTGTAGTCCCTGCTACTCTGGAGGCTGAGTTAGGATAATTGCTTGAGCCAGGAGTTCAAGTCCAGTCTGGACAATGTAGCAAGATCCCCCTTCTCTATATAAAAAAAATATAATCAGTCAAGACTGGAAAACAATTCCCAGGCAGAGGGAGCATGGAGATTTGGCGGGAAATCCAGAGAAGGCAGCCATCAGCAGTTTCCCTGGAAATAGGTCTTAATCAAATCCCTAAATCCCAGGGCTGAGCCTTGGGAATTAATAAGATTGGTCAAAGATCATTTTATATATACCACAAAACCTCAGTTGTATGAGAACAGTCATAAATGTGAAAGATAGAAATTATATTTAAGATAAAAGCATATTTTAAATATATATTCTTTAATCAAAACAAATGATAAAGCCAGAATACAGAGAAAATTCTCGAATACTTGTGTGGTGAGTTAATAATGACCCTCTAGAGTGTCTACATCCTAATCCCTGGAACCTGTGAATAAGACCTTACATGGCAAAGGGAACTTTGTGGACATGATTAAGAATCTTGAGATGGGGGATTATCCTGGATTATCCTCGTGGGCCATAAATATGATAATAAGAATGCTTATAAAAAGGAGACAGAGGAACATTTGACTACAGAAGGGGAGACGGTGATGTGGTGAGGGAGCAGAGATTGGGTGATGCACTTTGAAGATGGAGGAAGGGGCCACAAGCCAAGGAATGCAGGTGGCCACCAGGAGCTGGAAACAGCAAGGAAATGGGTTCTCCCCTAGAGTCTCCAGATGGAACCAGCCCTGCAGACACCTTGAAGTTAGTGTAGGGGACCTGATTTTGGACTGCTGACCTCCAGGAGTGTAAGGGAGGTGATAATGATGAAACAGAGTAACTTTGTTCTCCATTCTCAGGTTTACCTTTAGTTTACTCTTGCTTTGATCCTTGGAAAGTCTCTGGAACAAACAGATTTAGGAATGCATAGATCTTTATATTTCTTTCTTTCTTTCTTTTTGGGACGGAGGTCTCACTCTGTCACCCAGGCTGGAGTGCAGTGGCACAATCTCAGCTCCCTGCAACCTCCACCTCCTGGGTTCCACTGATTCTCCTGCCTCAGCCTCCAAAGAAACTGGGATTATAGGTACATGCCACCACGTCCAGCTACTTTTTTGTATTTTTAGTAGAGATGGGGTTTCCCCATGTCGGCCAGGCTGGTCTCCAACTCCTGACCTCAAGTGATCCACCCACCTCGGCCTCCCAAAGTGCTGGGATTACAGGCGTGAGCCACTGCGCCCAGCTCAATCTTTATATTTCAACACTGATTTATGTTGGTGGAGCAGACACTTGGGCCTGGGAGTGGGGGGTGGCTGGGAGAGGAGGAGGCCAGAGCTATCCAATCTTTCGAAGATCCCACACTCTACATTTTTTCAAGTTTCTCTTAATGTCACCTGTTTCTGCCCAAAAAGGGGATACTTTAGATGACTTAAGTGGCCTGGAGAATAAACCTGCTTCACCGTCTCTTGCAGGCCTGGATGAGTGACCTGAAGAGTGAATGCTGTTTGTGCTGAGGTAGAAAAGCTCTATGTGCTTCATGAACAATTCTGCATTGGCAGCATCTTATAAAGTAGTGCAAGGCTGGTCTTTCAACTGGGGCCGGGCCTTTTTGTGAGTCTCTGCAAACACCTGCTCCTCTTCAACAGCTCCGGAGGGCAGTGCTGCATCTTGAGATAAACATAAATATGTATATTAAATTTCTTTTTATATATATTTACATATATAAATATAAAATATGAATATCATTTAGAATACTGATTCGCCTTCTATTTTGTCAAGATAACACTGCCCCCAACTTCATGACCTCAATGTAACATTCTCTTTTTTTTTCTTTTCTGAGACAGGGTCTTGCTCTGTTGTCCAGGCTGGAGTGCAGTGGTGCCATTGTAGCTCAGTGCAGCCCTGACCCTCTGGGCTCAAATGATCCTCCTGCCTCAACTTCCCAAGTACTTGACTTTTTTTTTTTTTTGTAGAAGAAGGGTCTCAAACTCCCAGGCCCAAGCATTCCTCCTGTCTTGGCCTTCCAAAGTGCTGGTGTGAGCTACTGCACCCAGCCACATTCTCTTAATTAACCCTCACAACATCCCTACCCTTTAGATGTTACAATTAAGGTTCAGTGAGATCCAGTCACTTGCCTAAGGTCATACACCCAGTATGTGGCCTCCAGCTTTGGTTAAGCAGCCCCAGTGGGGGATTTGGCTGGGTCTCCTTGACCAGGAAGACAAAGCCAGAAGATGAAGGCAGAGGCAGACACACTGGAGTGGAGTTGTTGGGGGGAGTCTGAATTGGTCTTCTTCTGCTAAACGAAGGTTCCTTAGAAAGAGTCCTGTCACCCAGAGAAGGAGGCATCCCACTGGTCCGGAGTGGGCAGGAATCTAAGAGCAGAACTCTCCAAATTGTGGATTGGGGGTGGGCTCTCCTGGGAAATGCTTGGCCAGTAGGGAGCACTGCCTTCTCCATTCTACAAATGTCGTAGGCTCCCTCCCACCTGATAGCTTTCTGCCCACTTGTCATTCTTCCCCTTAAACAGGGTTCTCAGGAAAAGGCCTGACCCATGCATCCAAACTGCAGAAATTCTGCAAATGGCATGCTGCATTGACCCATGCCCAGAGCTGTTGATTATTATGAGGGCGCAAGTAACCTTAAGAGAAATTAATACATTTGGAGCACCAGCAAAATGACTCCAAGAGTAACGTAAGGGCTAGCTATCATTATTGGACCAGAAATATTTCTGGGAGTTGCTCTTAACATCCCCCCTTCATTCTTCCTTCTCATCTGCAAGTGAATGCTGTGATGTTTAGGTTTCCTGAAAGAAACATGGTTGACAGTAAACTGTGTGTGACCGCTGCAGCTTAATTCATCCCTGAACAACAATTAATATTGATGGTTTGAAGGATGGATAGTTTCTTGGGCAGAGGAAAAAGCTGAAGCAGAACATATGAGTCAGCCCTTCCATCCTGGGTATAAATTATTAAAGCCAGCAGTTACTCCTCATGCACAGCCACTGTGATTTAGAGATTGCTGATAGTCCCTAAGTAGGAGTGGGATAGGGAGCAGGTGACAGTCAAAAAACTATAGGTAGCCTCCATTAAGAGCTCAGTTTGGAACTGGACTGCCTATGTTCTTTTCTTTTCTCTTCCTTTTCTGTGACAGGATCTCTTCAGTTGCCCATTCTGGAGAGCAATGGCACAATCAGAGCTCACTGCAGCCTCGACCTCCTGGACTCAATTGATCCTCCTACCTTGGTCTTCCAAAGCGCTGGTATTACACAGGCTTGAGCCACTTTGCCTGATCTGAGTTCTAATTCTGACTGCATTGTCTACTAGTTGAACAACACTGGAAAATTGACTTCACCTCTCTTAAGTGTTGTCATCTACAAAATGAGGGTCACGAGCATACTGATCTTGTAGGGTTTGTTGTGAGGGTTAAACCAGATACTCTATGTAAATCATTGAGCACAGTTTCTGGTATACATAAAGCATACATAAAACTTTACTTTTTTTTGTTTTTTTTTAGACACTAGGTCCCACTATGTTGTCTGGGCTGGTTTTGAACCCCTGGCCTCAAGGGATCTTCCTGCGTTGGCCTCCCAAAGCCCTGGGATTACAGGCACAAGCCACTGCCTCTGACTAAAGATGATTATTATGTTTATGGACTTCCATTTGTTAGCCTTCAGTAAAGAACCAAATGTTGTTTCTAAAAAATACCCACTACTGGCCGGGCGCAGTGGCTCATGCCTGTAATCCCAGCACTTTGGGGGGCAGAGGCAGGTGAATCACCTGAGGTCAGGAGTTCGAGACCAGCCTGGCCAACTTGGTGAAACCCTGTCTCTATTAAACATACACACACAGACACACACACACACACACACACACACACACTAGCCGGGCATGGTGGCTCATGCCTGTAATCCCAGTTACTCGGGAGGCTGAGGCAGGAGAATCGCTTGAACCTGGGAGGCAGAGTTTGCAGTGAGCTGAGATCACGCCACTGCACTCCAGCCTGGGCAACAGAGCTAGACTCTGTCTCAAAAACAAAAAACAAAACAAAAAACAACCAACCAACCAAACAAACAAACAAACAAAAACAACCCAGTGTTGACCTTAAGTTGCACTTGTGCCATCCGTGAGGTTGTGAATTCAGGAGTGCTATGAAAGGCTCCCAGCTAGGAGTATCCCTCTCCGCTTCTTAGAATACCTGGGATCCTACTGCTAAGCACTTTGTTCATTTGTGTTAAGCACCAACCTGCAATTTCTCCTTTACAGGCAAATGCACTTCAGGGGTGGTACTTGTATCAGAGCCCTTCATTTCGTTGGGGAACAAGTAGAGTGGGGGTTGGGTGTGTTTAAAGTGGGAAGATGTAGCCAAGGGGACAGGGAAGAGACACAAGACAAACTTACAAAACTGGGAAAGGGGCTTTGGAATCAGCAGTGGCTCACTAAATTATCCCATTATCTAAGAATAGGAAGATCTATAATATTTTCCAAAATGTTTTTTTTCTTCACTCTAAATGTCTCATGATGTTTGCTTGTTGAAAAAAAATTAATTTCAAACCCTGGGAAAAAAAGGTAGGTTGAAACATTAATCAGAGTTATTTGTGCTGCTTCGCAGGTGTCTAGCTGCCTTAAATTACTTTGTGAAAATGTTAATTATCTAAACAACTTAAAATAGAAAAAAAAATCTCATGATAAGAAGCCATTTATCTATCTCCCAACTACTTCCTTTTTTTTTTTTTTTCTTTTGAGACAGGGACTGGGTCTGTCACCCATGCTAGAAGGCTGGAGTGTAGTCGTGAAATCATGGCTCACTGCAATCTCTGTTTCTTGGGTTCGAGCCATCCTCCCACCTCAGACCCCTGAGTAGATGGGACTACAGGCATGCATCACCACGCCTGGCTAATTTTTGTTTGTTTGTTTGTTTTTTGGTAGAGATGAGGTTTCACCATGTTGCCCAGGCTGGTCTTGAATTCCTTGGCTCAAGCAATCTGCCCATCTCGGCCTCCCAAAGTGCTAGGACTATAGGCATGAGCCACTGTACCCACCTCCATTTAATGTACTTTAATTCTTTCCCCCAAGTCCTCACTTGCTTCCTTTGCTGGCACAGATTCCATGCCCATCATTAGGATCAATCTCTCAAACTCTCCCACTCCGCCATACATATGTGTCAAAACCCCACTTTGGCAAAACCCAATCCATTGTCAACCCTGTTTCTGAGCCTGACAACTGAATGCAGTTAGAGAGAAACATAACGATGGTGGCCCATTTCAGGTTAAATTCTCAACCACAAATCCAGATTGTTTCTCTCTAGTCCATTGATCCTTGAACTCTCCTAGATAGCTATTTTGACTATTCCACACATTCTTTCCTCAAACTCCTAGCCCAGGGATCCTCAGTTCTGGCTGCACTGTTGAGTCACCCAGAAACCTTATAACACACCAGTGCCCAGGTCCCACCTCCAGAGAATCTAATTTACTTGGTGTGCTCTGGTGCAGTGGCTCATGCCTATAATCCCAGCACTCTGGGAGTCTGAGGCGGGTAGATCACCTGAGGTCAGGAGTTTGAGACCAGCCTGGCCAACATGGTAAAACCCTGTCTCTACTAAAAATACAAAAATTAGCCAGGTGTGGTGGTAGGCTTCTGCAATCCCAGCTACTTGGGAGGCTGAGGCAGGAGAATCGCTTGAACCCGGGAGATGGAGTTTGCAGTGAACCGAGATCGTGCCTTTGCACTCCAGCCTGGGTGACAGAGTGAAACGCTGTCTCAAAAATAATAGTAATAATAATAATTTACTTGGTGTGGATCAGGGCCCTGGATATGTGTTTTTGAAACTCCCCAGGTGATCCTAATGTACAGCCAAGAACGGAAGCTAAACTCCTCGCCCTCCCTTCATCAGGCAGAGCTCATGACCTGACTTCCCACTTCACTGAGAACATCAAATCAGTAAGGAAAGAACACCACAGCAGACTTCCACTAAATCTAGGAATGTGCCTGCACGAAGTCTTTACTTCACTGCCTTCTGCAATAAGACAAACCTTCTACTTGTGCATTCCAACTCGCCACCATTCAAGCAATCAAGGATTTTGCTTTGGCAACTGTTCCCTTTCTCTCCAGCATCTCTCCCATATCCTTTCTATTGAAACATTCCCACAATCATTCAAACATCTGATTTTTTTTTAAATCCCTCCCTCAACTCCTTAGTCCTGTTTGGCACCTCCCCTTTCTTCCTCCCTTTTCAGCAAAACTCCTCAAACTTTATATTGACTCAATACCCCCATTTCTTCTCCCATTCTCAGATCCACTCCAATCATAGTTTTGTCTGCTCACTGACAAACCCAGAAGTTAATTCTCAGTCCTCTTCTTATATCTCTTAGCAGCATTTGACAGTTATTTGAAAGTATTCCTCCTTGAAATACTTTCTTAGCCACCAGGACTTTACTTTGTCTCAATTCTCCAGCCTTCTCAGTCTCCTTGAGTGATTCATCTGCCTCATGTTTAGAAATCATGTGCTCTGGGAATCCCCCTCACACCCATTTCCTCCATATTTATGCTCCATCCACGGTGGTTTCATCCAAGATGTATCTACTGCCAGGTGCAGTGGCTCAGGCTTGTAATCCCAGCACTTTGGGAGGCCGAGATGGGCAGATCATTTGAGGTCAGGAGTTTGAGATCAGCCTGGCCAACATGGTGAAACCCCGTCTTACTAAAAATACAAAAATTAGCCCGGCGTGGTGGCAGGTGCCTGTAATCCCAGCTACTTGGGAGGCTGAGGCAGGAAAGTTGCTTGAGCCTGGGAGGCAGAGGTTGCAGTGAGCCCAGATCAAGCCACTGCACTCCAGCCTGGGTGACAGAATGAGACTGTCTCAAAACAACAACAACAACAACAACAAAGCAAACAAGATGTATCTACTATCTATCTGCTGATGGCACTCACAATCTTACCTCCAGCCTAGACCTGGATGAACTCCAGATTCCTGTTTTCAACTACCTGCTTTCCAGACCCACTCAGATATGTTAAACTCTACAGCTGAAAACCAAGCTATTGTTCCTCCCTTTCAATCCTGCTGCTCTTGCAGTAGCCCATGCAAACAACAAGAGCAAAGCCAAAACCATGGAGTCCTTCTCAACTCATCTCTTTCTCTCACTGTCCACATTTAATTCTTTCATAAAAGTTGTGGGTTCTACCTTCAAGACATATTCTGATCTGACCAATTCTCATCACTTCCATCACTCCCAGTCTGGTCCCAAATACCCTCTTTTATGGCCTGGACTATCGCAATAGTATCTGAACTGGTCTTCCTGATTCCACTTTTCCTCTGCTCCAATCTATTTCCCTCTAAGCAGCTAAAGAGAGGCCCTTAAAATGCAAGCCAGATCTTATTTGTCTGCTCTATGCTCTCCAGTGGCTCCCAATTTTACCCAAAATAAACTACAAAGTATTGCAAGATTTAACACCCAACTCTTCGATTTCATCTGCTACCACTTCCTCTCATCTCTGTCTCAACCACATCTGCCTCCTCATTGCTGACTGACCACAGCTAGTGTGCTCCTGCTTTGGGTGCTTTGCACTTGTTTCTCATCCTTGAATGCACATGGCTTGCTTCTTTAATCCATTGAAGGTTCTGCCCAAATGTCACCTTATCAGAGCAACTTCTCCCAACCAATTTATACAAGCTTGTGCACACACACACACACACACTCCACCACAATCACAACCACCATCAGTCTCTGTCCCTCTACTTTTTATCTCTTATCAACAACAGGTATATACATATTTACTGGGTTGTTTATTTTTTGTCTCTTCTCTCCCCACCCCCCGCCACCATTTCAATGTAAGTGCTATAAAAACAGGGTCTTCGTTCTTTTTCTCTGATTTATTTCCAGTGCCTAGAAGAGAGCCTGGCACATAATAGGACTCAATACATATTTGTTGAATTAGTGAGTGAATGAATGAATCAATCAATCAATGAAAAAGTCAGATCATCTCAATCTGAACACAAGGGAATTTTCTCGAGAGTTTTCCAGAGGATTGTCCTATTTCCTTCTTTCTGCCTCTCTGTGTTGGCTCCTAGATAAATTTACCACATAAAAGCACTGTGAGAGAGGTTGGACCCTTAGGTCCCTGCATTAGATATGACCCCAAATGTCACCCTGTGCCACGCATATTCTCCTCCGACCTCCTCCCCAACATGCGGGCCACTGTCCAGCAGCTGCACTCTTTCTCCCCCTACCCTCTCGCAGCCCCAGGAGCTTCTCCTTGGCTGTAGCCCCCTCCTTTTGGGTGATGAAGGCAACATGGGGAGAAGCAGCAGCTTCACTGACACCATCCCTGCCGTCTCCATCCAGAGTGACCAGCAACACGCAGACTTCTCAAGCCTCATCTGGCCTGTGCAGTCTGGAGCTGGCCAGGGCACTCTCTGCCACATTAGCATTCATGTTCATTTCTGTGTCCTGCCACAGCTTGACTATTTGCAAAATCAAGACTTGTAAAACTGCCGAGGAAAAATATATATACTGTATTCGATGGCTTCTAAGATGCCCACTTCCTTTTTTTCATATTTCACATCACTAACATCAGGAATGTCTTATAATTGGTGCTGGGCAAGTGAAAATCCCTGTGCAGTTAACAGAGTCTGAGTCTATGCCAACTTCATTGCTATTCCTAGGACATGCCTGACCTCATATACCCCTTGGTGTGCCAGGCCACAGGCCTGCTGAGAACCACTGGAAGAAGGAAATTGAATCTAGTTATTGTATGAAAACCTTGGATTAGGTAAAACAAAACAAAACAAAACAAAACAAACAAAACATCAGCATCAAGATCTTATTTCTCTGCTCTATGCTCTCCAGTGCCTCCCCATATCACTCCAAATAAAATCTGAAGTCTTGCAAGATTTAACACCCACCCAACTTCCTCTTTGATTTCATCTGCTACCACTTCTCTCTCAGCTCTGTCATCTGCCTCCTCAGTGCTGGCTGACCACAGCTAGCATGCTCCTGCTTGGGGGACACATAGAGTGGGAGGCCAGTAGCTTGGATGAGTTAGGAGCACTTGTGTAAGAAATGCAGCATACCAAATGCTCTGAGTGACTTGGAGGAGCATATTCTGGAGAAAACCTGGGCATTGACAGCTCTGAGTTAGAAAGTAAACAAGGATAGTGAGATTCTGAATGTGAAATTCGGAAAACTTTAATCAATTAATTTATATTTTATCTGTATGCATGCAATAGAGTGATACGTAATAAAAATCTGTCCAAAAATTATGATCAAATAGCTTTTTCAATAAGTTTAAATTATAATTAGAACAGAAAAGGAACCATTGTATCATAGTTTCCTATGGCAGCACTTTTTTCTTTTTTAGTGATACATAAAACAATGGTTCACTGTACCATGAAAGGAGGTTTAGACTTAATGAAATATGGTGCTTAGCCCTAGTTACATAAAAGCATGAACCATTGGTTTAACAAAACCTAAGGAATCTACTACACAAATGAATTGCTTTTTACTACCTTGAGCTGTTTGGGAAAACCATAAAACCAAAAGCTCAATATTAATCTAAAATTATTTAATTATATTTTATAATTAAATTATTTGGAAGATGTTTTCAAATGACTCAAAGTTAAAAGATCTCAGTGTGATATATATTCTATAATTACTCTCAGAAATGATGTTACTAATAAAAGTTAATGATGTAGAATCATAATCGTCATTATCAAATAGGAGGATGCCAGCCAGAGGAGAAAGCTTTTGTTTTGCAATTGTTTTGTCCCCTCACTCCTTCTCTTACCACAGTGAGAAGCAGTCATCTGTTTTCAAAGGTTGGAATGTTTTTACTTTTCTTGTTTGGAAACTGGCTTAAACAAATGTAAGTGCTATAAAATACTTCACTCTAAGTTGAAATATTCATCTAATTTTTATTGGACAAGCTTTGAAGTAACAATTTGACTTCTCAGTGTTTCTTTTGTGTCCATATAATCCTCTCCTCAGTGTTGCATGTGGTGTGAGCTACAAGCATTTGTGAGCCTAGGAAGCACAAGGCCCCAAGGTTTCCTGGGAATTAGCACCATACAAATGCAAATTAGGGACACCGGAAGACTCTGTCCATCCTTGCCACTGCTGTTGTTTTGTTCCTTGGTTCCTTATGGGTAGCAAAGCAATTCATCGTTTTTAAAACACGTACCTTAGCTGTTGACTTTTTCATTGGCTAGCTGGAGAAGAAAAGAAGGAACTCTTTCCTACAGATTTTAACTCTCTGAATCCCATTCAATTATTTTTTCCATTCAACTATTTAAAATAGATAACATGAAATCTTGCAGGAGCCTCACACAATTCCTAATTGCAGAATTTGAACTTGAGCTATGGAGTCTTACTCTTCTTCTTGCATCTTCAACCTATGCTTTACTATCACCCTTTTTGATAAGTCAGATTACCTGTACTCTCTTCAACAACTTTCAGCTGGTTAGCACAGTATATAGGTATGTTGGAAACCAGATATTTTCCGTGGCATAATTCTTCCAAGAGAGTAAAAATGCTTTGCAAGCACTTCCTCATTTTTCAGCCAATCCACATAGCAAGGAAAGTTCCATGAATCTTTTCCTTTTTATATATTGTCTGTTAGTGATGATCATGAACCTATGCCTGTGCAGAGCCCCTGATGTGGAAGGAGGAACCACAGGGGCTGGGGAGGGGAGGGCATGAGTGAAGGTTCCTGCTCGACACTAGAAGTGACCCCACTTGGCGGCAAAATGGTCCTTCATCCTTTATGCATTCGTAGAAATCGCAACATGCCTTTCTGTTTCATGTAACTACAATTTAGTTAATGCTCAGTAGGATTTGTAAGCCCTTCACATCTCTGAGGATTTATTTTATTTCAGAGTGAAAGTGACTTTATGGCCCATTTACCATTAGTGTGACTTATTGCATTATTCGAAGGAGGAGGAGGGGAGCAAGAAGACAAGGCAGTCTCCGTTACGCGTATCGCCATCAACAGGATGACCACCACACATTCCTGCCCAAGGAAGAGGGGCGGATGCAACCTTTCTGTGCTATTGTTTATGAGAGCACTGAAGCCTGGGTGATCATGCAATATTTCAGTACATGAGTGTTTCAAGTGTGTGTGTGAAGGAGATATTAAAATAGAGGTGTGAGAGTAATTAGTATTTGGAAGTAATGGATATTTTGAGTTCAAAAGATGCCACACGTCAACGATGATGAGGAATGACTAGCTACTTAACTCCAGTGCTGGCACCCTTAAATTACAGGGATACTGAAGCGAGACGGAGTTAGCATCTGACCAGCGACCAACAGTGGACCGGCGAGGCGGGCTCCTAATTAGAGCGAGATTCCCAGAAGCTGGACAGCCCCTGTATTTATGGGAGCATGCGGCGCAGCTGGCAGTGACCCCCAGGAAACCTCGGCAGCAGCCGCCGCCGCGGGTGTGGTGACCTCGGGCCCGCCGCCTACCTGGAGCGTTTCGGCGGCGCCTGGTTCAGAACCACCGGGGCGGACAGCTCCCTGGAGCTGCACGCGGACTGCGGAAGGGGACAGTGAGCGGGATCGGCCCGCACTCCGTCCGCGGGCCCGGACCGCTGGAAGCACCCGGGTCCCCCTCCCCTCCTGTTCCCCGGTCCCGCCCTCCCCCTCCCGCGCTGCGCGTGGCGGTCCCGGGCTGCGCGTCCCTGTA